>NT_167248.2:2726468-3017580 GCF_000001405.40 Homo sapiens | reverse complement strand
GGCCAATCCTGTGGGGAGGGAGAAAAGGGAAGGGATGTGGTCTCTGTGCTGAGGGAGCCCTTGTTCTGATAGAGGAGCCAATCCCCACCTCTGGGAAATGCCCAGCCTGGGGGTCCCCGAGGAGCTAGATTGGTCTCCTCACCAAATACTGCACCAGGGGCCCTTGTGGCAGCAGTTGTAGCTGAACAAGGCTCAGAAAGTTGGTGGCCACAAAGATGTGGGGGCATGTGGGTCCACGTGCCAGCCAGTGTCGGAGCACAGCGGCCAGAAGCGCGAGCCCATCCACCTGCAAAGAGGGCAGAGGTTAGCATTCGGAGCCATGGGGACCCCATATGCCCCTCTGCACTTGCACTGCCTTTCCCTGTCTCGTGTTCTATTTCTTTTCTGCCCACACAGCCCTATTCCATTCCAGAGGCCCAGCCTCACTGTCATGCTCCTTCATCCTCCTCCATTTTCCCCTCCTTAGTTTCTCCCCTCATCAGTTTCTCCCCTCACCGTGTTGGTTCCCTTTCCAAATTCATCAATAAGGACCAGCGACTGTGCAGTGGCATTGTTCACTGCTTTCGCCACCTGCTGGGTATAAGGTGGACAAGGGAAAGTTAGTATTGGAAGCCCGTAACGCACTGACCACAGTTGGCCTGTGAATAAAGCTGTATACATGCCCTCCCTACTGCACTGCAAGTTCTTGAATGGTGAGGTGCACGCTTTGTTCATCCTCTTTGCCAACAGTGACTCACATGAAACAAGGGTTCAAGAAATGTTTATGGTATTGATTCTTCTTATCTCTGACCTTAGTGCTCCCCACTTTTAGTATAAAGGGCATGCAGCAGAGGGCATGCTTTCCTGTTATGAGCATTTTCAGGGGTTCCTTTCCCATTATCCCCTTCCTCAATCCCACCTCCCTTTGTTCCCTTTGACCTGGTTGAGGTCGATCATGAAGGTGGAGAGGCCAAGGGAGATGGATTCGCAGCTATGAATTCGTGTGAAGATGGCGTCTACTGCCCCAATTTCGGCCTCCTCTGCTGGCACAAAGCTGCCTACCAGGGCCATGAATGTGATCAAGCCTACCTGAATAGGGAAGGAGACAGGGCCTGGGGCCTGGTGCCGTGGGCTGAGGTGAAAGTGAGGCTCAAGGCATGAATGGCACATCAAAGAGAAATGGACAGGGTGAAACAGGAGAAATAGGTAACAGACACACTGACTCTGTCTCTCCTCCCCGAATCCTGACCATAGCCCTGTGGGCTAATTTAGAATCAGTGAAGAGGCACGGGACGTGGGCAGAGACATACTTGGGAGTGGTGTGTACCTACTCAGAGGCAGGTGAAGGAATTTGGGCCACGGAAAGTTCCATTAGAGCATGGCTCTCCAGTGGAGAATAAGAACATGTGAGGTGGAAGCACAGGGATGTGGGTGATGGTCCTTTCATGAAGAGCGGGGTCAGAAAATGGGAGAAGAGCTGCAGGAGCCTGAGTTGGCTGGCAAGTAGGGGTGGAGTAGATGCAGGAGACGCCAGAGGCCCAGGCTGCAGGGCTTCTCCTCACCTGTTTGAGGTATATGCTCTTCCCTGATGAGTTGGGTCCAGTGATGACTTTGACCCTCCCTTTGTCCCCACCACATTCTGTGGAGTTGGGCACAAAGGTTCGGGCACAGAGTTCCATCAGAGGATGTCTGCAGTGGGCGGAGAGGCACCTCGCATGGCTTGTGGATCAAGATAGATGAACCCCCAGAAGATGTAGCCTTTGGGCCCCTCATGTCTATTCCTCCACCCGCCTCTATTCTTACCTGCCATTCTGGATTCGTACCCCAAGGACTTGTGGGGAGTAACGCGGCCTTGAGTAGCCATAGTCCCGGGCAGCACTGGCAAGAGCCAGCAGGACGTCCAGGCGGGAGGCAAGGTCCAATACTCGGGTTAAGACAGCTGCTCGTGCCAGCACCTGGCACTGTAGCTGGTACATCAGCAGCGTCTCCTGGTCTGGGAGTGGGTGAGGAAGGGAGCTGGAGGTCAGTTCCAGGGGAAAGTGAAGGAGAGGCAGAGGCCCCTAGGGGGATCTGGAAACAGGTTGCAGATACAATCTGAGACCTCAAGACATTCAGAGGAAAAGATAGAGTCAGAGTGAGCGAGACAGAGAGCAGGAAGAGGAGGGGCCTGTTGGAAGCATCCCCAAGTTGCCCACTCCCCTCCTTCCCCTGGCTGCTGCTTTTTTTAAACATCTTACAATGCATATAACCTCTGGCTTTTCCTCACCCCGGATCTCGCAGTGCAGGTCCCCCAGCAATGCATCCAGCTCCTTGGTTCGGGCACTACGATAGTGCAGCTTCTCCTCTGAGAGAAACTGGGTACAGGGGTTCAAAGCTGTGGACTTTGCATCTCTTGGTCCTCCTCTCCTTCCCCATCTTTCTAACCCCACCTCCAGCCCCTAACTCTGACTTCTCTTTCCTTTGTCTCAGTGCTGGTAAAGCTCAGAGTAAAACTACAGAGGAGAGATCCCATATTGGGCAGTGCTGCTGTAGAGTAACGCTCTTCCTCAGCTGCTGACTCATTTTCCTCATCACTCACCTTACAGAGGTTGAGGGTCTTACCATGAAGTCCAGTCCATTAATCTCAAAGTCACTGGCCTCTACCATGGAAGGCAGGCGGGGAATAGAAAGAAGGAAGCCAATCTGGGGAGAGTAAAGAGGAGATACTCTACTCTCCTGCTTGGAGACTTACTGGACACCTCCCCACCCTAGAGGGAGCTTAAAAGATCCCTGTATCCCCACAAAAAAGTGTTCATGTTCTTCAGGCTGCCCCACAAGTTTTCTTATCTACCAGTATGTCTTTCATAAGCCTAATATCTCCCCCAAAAGACATCTGAAGGCTACACCCACTCTCCTGCCCTCACCAGAGGGATGTAGATGACACTGCATGAAGGAATACGGGAGTCCAGATTCTCCAGCTCCTTGCGGGCAACCTCAGTAAGGAAACTGGGAAGTCCCATCAGTCTTCGCTTTTCTACGAGGGTGGAAGACACGTGGTTATCAAAAGTGAGTCTCCTGCCCTGGTTGCTATGAAGATCCCCAGCTGTGGTGACCACCTGCCAAGGATGGTACTCCATCACTGCGCAGGGCTCACAGGCCCATCCACACCCAACACTCACTCTCATCAATTTCAGGATCTATGTTGGGGAGGACTGTGAAGCGATTTTCAGCAAGGCTGCCCTCAAAGTCCACCTGAGGAGATAAGTACTGTTTCTTAGGACCTGGCACCCTCTGTCCTGTTCCTCAGCTCTCCTTGGGCCCCAATTCTCCCTGCAGTCCTCCTTTAACTCTCACCCTCCAGATACTTCCCTGAAGTTCTGCTGCCTCCTCCCACCATCCCATTCTTTATCCAATTGACCTCAATATCTTCCATGTTTCCCCATCTTGCACACTGCATTCTCTCTCCCTGACCTCCCTGGGTGCACTCCCTTTTTCCTTCTACTCACTACTTTCCCAATGAGGCTGGCGATATGGTGCAGGTCATCAGAGAACTCTTGGGCAATGTCCCGAAAGAGCTGGATGGACTGCGGCAGGGAGCGGCAGGCATCCCTCAGGCCCAGGGCACTGTACACAGTCTGTGAGAGAAACACAAAAAGGAGGACAGGCCACATCCAGCTCGGGTTGAGGTGGTGATAGGGACAGACTCAGAAGAACAAAGACCAGTAGGGAAGATCACAGTAACAAAGAGGGAAGATCTCAAAGGCAAAAAGAAACAGTGAGAGGCACTGTACCAAACACTGAAACTACAAAGACAATTAAGATATGGTCCTGGCCAGGCACAGTGGCTCATGCCTGTAATCCCAGCACTTTGGGAGGCTGAGGTGGGTAGATCACCTGAGGTCAGGAGTTCGAGATCAGCCTCACCAACATGGTGAAACCCTGTCTCTACTCAAAATACAAAAAATTAACTGGGCTTGGTGGCATGCACATGTAATTCCAGCTACTTGGGAGGCTGAGGCAGGAGAATCTCTTGAACCCGGGAGGTGGAGGTTATAGCCAGATCACGCCATTGCACTCCAGCCTGGCCGACAGAGCGAGACTCTGTCTCAAAACAAAACAAATAAACAAAAAAAGATATGGTCCCTGTCCCAGATGTGCTCACAGTCTAGGAAGGAAGACAGAAATACATGCAGAAGATTTAAAAGTGAGGTGGTAGGTGCTTTGATAGAGGGTTGTGCAAACTCTAAAACAAAGGAGTTTGTACAGAGTCGGGAGAAAGAGAAATATAGCTATAAAAGGCCATGAGTCTGTAATGATACAAGAAGAACAATGACAAAAAAACCTCATCGGCTATCAGGGCCGGGCGCGGTGGCTCACACCTGTAATCCCAGCACTTTGGGAGGCTGAGGCGGGTGGATCACGAGGTCAGGAGATTGAGACCATCCTGGTTAAGAGGGTGAAACCCTGTCTCTACTAAAAGTACAAAAAATTAGCCAGGCGTGGTGGCGGGCGCCTGTAGTCCCAGGCACTCAGGAGGCTGAGGTAGGAGAATGGCGCGAACCCGGGAGGCAGAGCTTGCAGTGAGCCGAGATCGCGCCACTGCACTCCTGCCTGGGCAACAGTGCAAGACTCCATCTCAAACAAACAAACAAACAAACAAACAAAAAACAAAAAAATCTCATGGCTATCTTGGAGAATGTTAGGGAACTAATTTACCATATTGATAGCTAGTAAATAAAGGTGGGGGGTGCTCATTTCTGCAGCACATATACTGAAATTTCGAAGGTTACAGGGATTAGCACGGCCACTGGGCACGGATGACACAAATTCAAGAAGCGTTCCATATTGGGGAAAAAAAAAAGGGCTGGGCATGGTGGCTCACACCTGTAATCCCAGCACTTTGGGAGGCCGAGGCGGGTGGATCACGAGGTCAAGAGATCAAGACCATCCTGGCCATCATGGTGAAACCCTGTCTCTACTAAAAATACAAAAATTAGCCAGGCATGGTGGCACACGCCTATAGTCCCAGCTACTCGGGAGGCTGAGGCAGGAGAATCACTTGAAACCCAACCCGGGAGGTGGAGGTTGCAGTGAGCCAAGATTGTGCCACTGCACTCCAGCCTGGTGACAGAGCAAGACTCTGTCTCAAAAAAAAAAGAGTGGGGGAAATATCAAGCAATTTTCTGTATTTCTATATGATTTCTATCACTTGGCAACCAAATAGTACATAAAAGGAAGTTTCTCTTTACAGAAATTTCTGGCTAATAAATGAAGAAAGAATCAGAGATTTAAATGCTACTACTTTGTAATTGCTAAAGAATTAATAGATGGCTGGGTGTAGTGGTTCACGCCTGTAATGCCAGCACTTTGGGAGGCTGAGGCGGGTGGATCACCTGAGGTCAAGAGATCAAGACCATCCTGGCCAACATGGTGAAATCCCGTCTCTACTAAAAATACAAAAATTAGCTGGGCGTGGTGGTGTGCGCCTGTAAGTCCCAGCTACTCAGGAGGCTGAGGCAGGAGAATCACTTGAACTCAGGAGGCGGAGGTTGCAGTGAGCCAAGATCGTGCCACTGCACTTCAGCCTGGCGACAGAGGGAGACTCACCTCAAACTAAATAAATAAATAAATAAATGAATAATAGATTTAGGTATTAAACATCAGAACATTTGCCAACATCAGAAAAAGAGAGACAATCGGACATATCAGACATTATGTTCCTCTACTTCTAAAACAGTATTGAAAAAAAAAAAACTCTGAACCTAATCATGCTTCTAGAACTAAATATTAATTTACAGAAACTATAGAAGAGAGAGAAATGTGCCAAAAACATCTAGGAAATGCAAACAGCAAAATCCAGGCTAATGGAAAACACTATAAGACAAATAATAATCTAGTTTCTTCAACAAATTGCCAGGAGAAGAAAAAGAGAAAAAGAAAGAAAGAACAAGAGAGAAAAGATAGAGAAGGAACCGGTAGATTAAAAAGGACTAGGGCCATCATCTGACTGGGCATCGTGGCTCACACCAATAGTCTCAGCACTTTGGGAGGCCCAAGCAGGAGGATCACTTGAGCTCAGGAGTTTGAGACCACCTTGAGCAACATAGTGAGATCCTGTCTCTACAAAAAATAAAAAATTGGTCAGGTGCAATGGCTCACGCCTGTAATCCCAGCACTTTGGGAGGCCGAGGCAGGCAGATCATCTGAGGTCGGGAGTTCGAGACCAGCCCGACCAACAGGGAGAAACCCTGTCTCTACTAAAAATACAAAATTAGCTGGGCGTGGTGGCACGCACCTGTAATCCCAGCTACTTGGGAGGCTGAGGCAAGAGAATCACTTGAACCCAGGAGGTGGAGGTTGCGGTGAGCCGAGATCACACCATTGCACTCCAGCCTGGGCTACAAGAGCAAAATCCCGTCTCAAAAATAAATAAATAAATAAATAAATAAATAAATAAATGCAAGCAAAAAATAAAAACTTAGTTCGGTGTGATGGCCATCACCTGTGGTCCCTGCTACTCAGGAGGCTGAGGGGGGAGGATCGCTTGAGCCCAACAGTTTGAGGCTGCAGTGAGCTACAATTGTGCCATTGCACTCAAGCCTGGGTGACAGAGTGAGACCCTGTCTCAAAAAAGAAAAATTTCAGATATTTGATGATACCAAATAATACAATTTTTAAAGTAAGATAACAATACTGTTATTCTTTTTAAAAAATAATTTTCTTTTAGAAATTACCCTGAAATATTGGCCGGGTGAGGTGGCTCACGCCTGTAATCCCAGCACTCTGGGAGGCCGAGGCGGGTGGATCACGAGGTCAGGAGATCAAGACCATCCCGGCCAACATGGTGAAACCCTGTCTCTACTAAAAATACAAAAAAAAAACTTGGGCATGGTGGCATGTGCCTGTTATCCCAGCTACATGGGAGGCTGAGGCAGGAGAATCGCTTGAACCTGGGAGGCGGAGGTTGCAGTGAGCCGAGATCATGCCACTGCACTCCAGCCTGGTGACAGAGTGAGACTCCATCTCAAAAAAAAAAAAAAAAAGAAAAAAGAAATTACACTGAAATATTTATGGATGAAATGATATAATGGCTGGGACTTGCTTCAAAATAATCCAAGAAAGCCAGGTGCAGCATCTCAGGCTTATAGTCCCAGTTACTCTGGAGGCTAAGGTGGGAGGATTGCTTGAGCCCAGAAGTTAGAGGCTGCAATGAAATATGACTGCACCACTCTGCTCTAGTATGGGTGACAAAGCAGGACCTTATTTAAAAAAACAAACAAACGACAACAAAACCCACAAAATAATCCAAGAGGGGAAAGTAGAAAAAGATATAGATGACACATACTAGGCTGGGCACGGTGGCTCCCACCTATAATCCTAGCACTTTGGGAGGCCGAGATGGGCAGATCACTTGAGGCCAGGAATTTGAGACCAGCCTGGCCAACATGGTGAAATCCCATCTCTACTAAAAATACAAAAATCACTCCAGTGTGGTGGTGGGCACCTGTAATCCCAGCTATTTGGGAGGCTGAGGTAGGAGAATCACTTGAACTTGGGAGGCAGAGGTTGCAGTGAGCCGAGATCGCACCACTGCAATCCAGCCTGGGCGACAGAGCAAGACTCTGTCTAAAAAAAAAAAGAAAAAGAAATAAAAAAAAAATTGGCGTAAGTTAAAGTGTTGAAACTGCATGGTGGGTACATGGGGGTTAATTATATTATTCTAAATATTTTTTACATTTTCCTGAATACAAAGTTAAAAAAAAAAAGAGGGAGGCCGGGCCTGGTGGTTCACACCTGTAATCCCAGCACCTTGGGAGGCTGAGGCAGGTGGATCACCTGAAGTCAGGAGTTCAAGACCAGCCTGGCCAACATGGTGAAATCCTGTCTCTACTAAAAATACAAAAATTTGCCAGGCATGGTGGCGGGCGCTTGTAATCCCAACTTCTCGGGAGGCTGAGGCAGAATTGCTTGAACCCAGGAGGCGGAGGTTGCAGTGAGCCAAGATCGCCCCATGGCACTTCAGCCTGGGCGACAGAGCGAGGCTGTCTCCAAAAAAAAAAAAAAGAGGGTAGAATAAAATTGGACAGCATGTCTAGGGTACAGACAGTCTGGAATACAGGCTGAGGGCCTTTACCTGGACTTTTGGGATTCAAGAAGGAAGGCCTTACCTTGTAGAGAACCTGCCAGTCGCTGACCTTGGTGTGGGACAACTTCATGCGTTTCAGAATCAGCTACAGTCAGACAAGGTTACAGCCGCTGTTTTCTCTTCCCTCACTCTAATGCCCCTCAAGAAGCCCACTGCCCAGTATCAGCCCTCAACCTCCTTCCCCACCTCCCTGCCCTCCACCCTGGGCTCACAGGCACGTTCTTGATGTGACCCAGGAGCCGATGCAGCATCTGAGCCATGTCCAGATTCTGGGGCAGCAGAAAAAACTGAATGACGTCCAGACGAGAACTGAGCTCCCCCAGGTCATGAGTCGGACGTGTGAACCATAGCCTGGAAGTGAGGGTTTGGGTGGGGGTACTACAAGTTACATCTATCATCTTGATCTCAGTTTGCCAAAAAGTGTGCTTGCAGTCCCTGGGGATTGTGGCAATATGTATCCACGATGTGCTATGGGAATGTAGTGGCAAGTGCAGTGTCCTACCCATTCAGGTGTGTTTACATGTATCTACTGAAAATTGCTAGATGTGAGCATAATTGTGTCTACATATCACAGTTTCAACGGATAAGACCGTGTGTCATTCCATGTATATAAGTAACGGAGCTTGTCAATATTTTAGAAGGAGAGCAGTGTGTTGAGGTATTTGTGTGCCAACACTGCAGCTCACTCTGAGGCTGAGTAAGAGACGGTGAGTCAGTATGAGTTTGTATGTCTTTTTAGCTGTGAAAGTGTCTCTGGGTAACAGCAACAGACATTCATCTTTTCATATTCTTCCTGTGAAAACATAACTGTCCCATTAGGGATGATAAGCTTTAATTCATAATAATGGTCAACACTGCAGAGAAAAAAGGATTGGGGAGGGACATTTAAGGGGCTTCAACAACAATGTCTTATTCTTTCGTTTTTTTTTTTTTTTGAGACAGAGTCTCGCTTTGTCGCCAGGCTGGAGTGCAGTGATGCGATCTCGGCTCACTGCAACCTCCACCTCCCGGGTTCAAGTGATTTTCGTGCCTCAGCCTCCCGAGTAGCTGGGACTGCAGGTATGCGCCACCATGCCCAGCTAATTGTTGTATTTTTAGTAGAGTCAGGGTTTCACTATGTTGGCCAGAATGATCTCGATCTCTTGACCTCGTGATCTGCCCGCCTCGGCTCCCAAAGTGCTGGGATTACAGGCGTGAGTCACCATACCCGGCCAATAGTGTCTTATTCTTTTTTTTTATTTTATTTTTTATATAGAGTCTTGCTCTGTCGCCCAGGCTAGAGTGCAGTAGCACAATCTTGGCTTACTGCAACCTCCACCTCCCAGGTTCTGGAATTACAGGCACCCGCCACTGTGCTCAGCTAATTTTTGTATTTTTAGTAGAGACGGGGTTTCACCATCTTGGCCAGGCTGGTCTTGAACTCCTGACCTTGTGATCCACCCGCCTCGGCCTCCCAAAGTGCTGGGATTACAGGCATGAGCCACCGCGCCCGGCATGTCTTATTCTTAAATTGGCTGATGGATATATAGATATTTGTATTATTATTATTATTTTTGAGATGGAGTCTTGCTCTGTCGCCCAGGCTAGGGTACAGTGGCGGGATCTCGGGTCACTGCAACCTCTGCCTCACAGGCTTAAGTGATTCTCCTGCCTCAGCCTCCCCAGCAGCTGGAACTACAGGTGTGTGCCACCATGCCCAGCTAAATTTTGTATTTTTAGTAGAGATAGGGTTTCGCTGTGTTGGCCAGGCTGGTCTCAAAATCGTGACCTCAGGTGATCTGCCTGCCTCAGCCTCCTAAAGTGCTGGAATTACAGGCATGAGCTACTGCGCCTGGCCATTTGTATTACTATTAATAGTTTTTATAGAGACGAGGTCTTGCTATGTTGCCCAGGCTGTTCTCAAGCTCCTGGCCTCAAGCAGTCCTCCTGCCATGGCCTCCCAAAGTGCTGGGATTACAAGCATAAGCCACTGCACCTGGCCCGATAGTATTATTATTTACATCTTTTTTTTTTTTTCTGAGACAGAGTCTTGCTCTGTTGTCCAGGCTGGAGTGCAGTGGTGCGATCTCAGCTCACTGCAACCTCCGCCTCCCAGGTTCAAGCGATTCTCGTGTCTCAGCCTCTGGAGTAGCTGGGATTACAGGGGTGCACCACCACTCCCGGCTAATTTTTGTATTTTTAGTAGAGATGAGGTTTCACCATGTTGGCCAGCCTGGTCTCAAACTCCGGACCTCTGGTGTTCCACCTGCCTCGGCCTCCCAAAGTGCTGGGATTACAGTCATGAGCCACCACGCCCGGCTAATTATTTACATCTTTTTGTGTGTTGGAGGTATTTCCTAATAAATGAAAATAAATTCAGGCCAGGTGCGGTGGCTCACGCCTGTAATCCCAGCACTTTGGCAGGCCAAGGAGGGCGGGTCACGAGGTCAGGAGATCAAGACCATCCTGGCTAACGCGGTGAAACCCCGTCTCTACTAAAAACACAACAAAATTAGCCGGGCGTGTTGGCGGGCACCTATAGTCCCAGCTACTCGGGAGGGTGAGGCAGAATGGTGTAAACCCGGGAGGTGGAGCTTGCAATGAGCCAGGCCACTGCACTCCAGGATGGGTGACAGAGTGAGACTCTGTCTCAAAAAATAAATAAATAAATAAAATAAATTCATATACAGAAATAAATGTCTCATCTGTGTTTGTCTAATTCCGGGTATCCCTGTATACTTATTGGCCATGAGAGTGTGAGACTCTGTAGGGACTTGTGAGCCCACAAATTCTTTTCTACATAGAACAAGTACTAAGGATGCCATCTTATATAAGAGCCAACATGTGCACACACTAGGTCCTGAAGATTTGTATCTTACATTGCAGTCTGTGGCCAGTTACTTTGGGTTAGAACACCCCAGATTTGAATGAAGCGGAGCATCCAGATGGCTTCAAGGGTGGGTTTCAGGTACCTCTGCTCCTTGGTCACTGAGGGCTCCCACCAGAACAGTGTAGGCCAGTCTGTAAATAGCCATCCCCACTTTAGAAAGCACATGCGCTGCACTAAACACTTAGGTATCTCTGACTCACGCCCTGCTCGTACTGGGAGAGACTTTAGTTAAACCAAACTGTAAATTTAACAACTGAGAAAATGAAACCGTTAAAAGATAAGCAACTTGCCCAAAGTCATACCGCCAATGAGAACAGCTAAGTCTCAAAATCATGTCTCCAGACTCCTAGGACAGTGCCCTTTAGAGCATACTGTGACATTCAGTCATATTCTTGGTGCCTGTACAGCTTTTAGTTCTTGAACTCCTGGCCTCAAGCAATCCTCCTGCCTCAGCCTCCCAAATGCTGGGATTATAGGCGTGAGCCACCACATCTGGCCCTATATTATTATTTACATCTTTTTGTACGTTAGAGGTATTTCCTAATAAATTAAAATAAATTCGTATACAGAAATATTAATAAATATGTCACCTGTCCTTAGTTCATTAGATTATATGATGATTCTTCAAGTTATATGATCTCATGCCCTGTCTGATTCCATTTGGGGAATACGCATTCCTCCCCGACCTTAAATCCAGCTCTCTTCTCCACTGAGAATTCTCTCCCTCCCATCTGTGGCTGAGATTAAAGATCTGCACCTGAAGCACTGAAGAATGTGTGGGTAATTAAATTACCCTGCCGATTCCTGGAGATGCTGATTACCTGGAGATGACCTCAGAGATTATCCTAAATTAACTCCTACAAGACACACATTGCAGCGGGAGGTGAGGTAGGGGAAGGATTGTGCACCTGAGGCTAGCAAAGGTTTCCACTCTGTTTAGAGATGATGTCACCAGTGCGTTTACATTTGCGTTGTGTTCACACATTGAGTGCTACTATGTACAAGACCATGTGTCAGACACTGAGGTAACAGGTATAGCTACTAGATAGAGTTCATAGCTATGGAGGCAAGCAGATTCACTGACTGCTAATTCTAACATGATGTGACAGTGCAACTAGAAAAACATAAACAAGCACTATGTGAGCACAAAGAAGGTGCACATCAACTCCTTACAGGTACCTGTAAAAGCCAAAGGGTAACAGTTGGATTGCACCTTGAAGAGGATGCACTTTTTTTTTTTTTTAAGACAGAATCTCACTCTGTTGCCCAGGCTGGAGTGCAGTGGGGCAATCTGGGCTCACTTCAACCTCTACCTCCCGAGTTCAAGCAATTCTCCTGCCTCAGCCTCCTGAGTAGCTGGTACTAGAGGCATGCGCCATGATGCTGGGCTAATTTTTGTATTTTCGGTAGACGTGAAGTTTCACCAAGTTGGCCAGGCTGGTCTTGAACTCCTGACCTCAAATCATCCACCCACCTCAGCCTCCCAAAATGCTGAGACTACAGGCGTGAGCCACCGCGCCTGACCTGGATGTAAGATTTTGATAGGTACAGAACAAGGAAAAGACTTTCCAGGCCGGGCACAGTGGCTTATGCCTGTAATCCCAGCACTTTGGGAGGCCGAGGTGGGCAGATCACGAGGTCAGCAGTTCAAGACCAGCGTGGCCAACATGGTGAAATCCCATCTCTACTAAAAATACAAAAATTAGCCAGGCATGGTGGTGGGTCCCTGTAATCCCAGCTACTCCGGAGGCTGAGGCAGGAGAATTGCTTGAACCTGGGAGGTGGAGGTTGCAGTGAGCAAAGACCGCGCCACTGCACTCCAGCCTGGGTGACAGAGGGAGACTCCGTCTCAAAAAAAAAAAAAAAAGACTTTCCAGAAGGAGCAGCATAAACACAGGCATGACATGTTTCCATAATGGCAAGTGGCCCTAAATGACTAGAATATAAGGTAGATCCAGTAGGAAAGGACTTAGAAGGGGCTTTGGAAGGTGAGTCTGGAAATTAAAACTGGGGTAAACGTGATGGACCCTGAACATCATTATACTGCTTAAGATGCTAATCTTAATCCTGAAGGTAATGGGAAAACCTCCTAAGGTTTATGTTATTTTCTTTCTACTTAGGCTATTTAAAAAGTGGAGTGACGGCCAGGCGCAGTGACTCATGCCTGTAATCCCAGCACTTTGGGAGGCCGAGGTGGGCGGATCACCAGGAGTTCGAGACCAGCCTGACCAACATGGTGAAACCCCGCCTCTACTGAAAATACAAAAATTAGCCAGGTGTGGTGGTGGGCGCCTGTAATCCCAGCTACTTGGGAGGCTGAGGCAGAAGAATTGCTTGAACCCGGGAAGTGGAGGTTGCAGTGAGCAGAGATCGTGCCATTGTACTCCAGCCTGGGCAACAAGAGCGAAACTCAGTCACAAAAAAAAAAAAAAAAAAAAAGGAGTGACATGCTTAGATCTCTGTTTTGGAATGACAGGTTTTTTGTTTCTAGCATCAATCCAAGGTTCATGGCTTGAGAAGGTGTACTGCCAGCAATGCCATTAACCAGCAAAGGGAATGCAGGAAGAGGAACAGATCTGGTGGGCATCAGTTTGGATGCTCTGAGTTTGAGCTGCCTGTGAAAACTGCAGGTGGTGATATGCAATTAACATTCACATACGGAGTTCAAAACTAGAGACACAAATTTGAGAGTCATCACAGAAATGTGAAGTGTGTTTTCTATAACTAAAGATAACCATGCTAACATAGCCATGTGTTACATTAGCATTTTTTTTTTTTTTGAGACGGAGTCTCACTCTGTTGCCCAGGCTGAAGTGCAGTGCACAATCTTGGCTCACTGCAACCTCCACCTCCTGGGTTCAAGCGATTCTCCTGCCTTAGTCTCCTGAGTAGCTGGAATTACAGGCACCTACCAACATGCTTGGCTAATTTTTGCATTTTAGTAGAGATGGGGCTTTACCATGTTGGCCAGCTGGTCTCAAACTCCTGACCTCAAGTGATTCACCCACCTTGGCCCCCCAAAGTGCTGGGATTACAGGTGTGAGCCACTGTGCCCGGCCTTACATTTTGTGTTTTTTCCTGCTGCTTGTATGTGTGCAAGTCTGTGTATCATCAATGGGTATATGTGTACCTGCGCTGACAACAAAAAATGAGATGCATATCAGCTACTACACAAAGCTGTTATAAGGATGAAATGCAGTTAGCCAGTGCTCAGTAAAGGGCAGTTGCTTTACTACTACTAGGTGGGGTGGTGTATGTGAGAATCTGTATACTGCCATTAGTAGGCTTTAGTATGTAGTGTGCATATGGAATTCATGCATTAGTGTGTAGTATGTGTGGGACCCACTCACCTGAGCAGCTTCTCTCCCCACTTACAGTGGCATCTGTTGAGGATTCCTGTGAGGGATAAGGCAGGGAGTGAACTTGTTACAAGGCAGGGACAGGGAATGGAATGTGTTTATGTGTCTAAGCTGAGGCATCCAGGTCAGAGGTGCTGGTTGTTGAGGAAGCTGGCCTGGGAGGGCACAAAGGCAGCCAAAGCTGGTGCCTGGCCACAAATATGAGCTGGGATTACCGTACATGGAGATGGGGGAAGGGATGGACACTCACAGGGACACTTAGCCAGAAAAATACACAAAGCAGACCTAGTTAAAACTCAAGAACTGGCCAGGCACGGTGGCTCACGCCTGTAATCCCAGCACTCTGGGAGGCCGAGGCAGACGGATCACGTGGTCAGGAGATCGAGACCATCCTGGCTAACATGGTGAAACGCAGTCTCTACTAAAAATACAAAAAATTAGCCGGGCATGGTGGCAGGCACCTGTAGTCCCAGCTACTCGGGAGGCTGAAGCAGAATGGCATGAACCCGGGAGGCAGAGCTTGCAGTGAGCGGAGATCGCGCCACTGCACTCCAGCCTGGGTGACAGAGCAAGACTCCGTCTCAAAACAAAACGAAACAAATAAACAAACAAACAAAACACAAAAAACTCAAGAGCCCTCCCGCCCCTCCAAAAATACAAAAACTCAATAGCTGGCCGGGCAGGGTGGCTCATGCCTATAATCCCAGCACTTTGGGAGGCCAAGGCAGGAGGATCACTTGAGCTCAGGAGTTTGAGACCAGCCTGGGCAACATGGCGAAACACCATCTCTACTAAAAATACAAAAAAATTAGCTGGGCATGGTGGTGCAGGCCTGTAGTTCCAGCTATTCAGGAGGCTGAGGTAGGATGAGGCAGAAGAATCACTTGAACCCAAGAGGCGGAGGTTGCAGTGAGCCTAAATTGTACCACTGCACTCCAGCCTGGGTGACACAGCAAGATTCCATCTAAAAAACAAACAAACAAACAAAAAACTCAAGAGCCCAACACACATATGTAAAAAACTGGACGGCCGGGCGCGGTCGCTCATGCCTGTAATCCCAGCACCTTGGGAGGCTGAGGCGAGTGGATCCCCTGAGGTCAGGAGTTCAAGACCAGCCTGGGCAACATGGTGAAACCCCGTCTCTACTAAAAATACAAAAATTAGCTGGGCGTGGTGGCAGGTGCCTGTAATCCCAGTTACTCAGGAGGCTGAGGCAGGAGAATCGCTTGAACCCAGGAGGCAGAGGTTGCATTGAGCCGAGATCGCACCATTGCACTCCAGCCTGGGGGACAAGAGCGAGACTTCGTCACACACACACACACACACACACACACACACACACACACACACACAAAACTGGACACAACTGGCCAGGCGCGGTGGCTCACGCCTGTAATCCCAGCACTTTGGGAGGCCGAGGTGGACGGATCACGAGGTCAGGAGATCGAGATCATCCTGGCTAACACAGTGAAACCCGTTCTCTACTAAAAATACAAAAATTAGCCAGGCATCGTGGTGGGCACCTGTAGTCCTAGCTACTCAGGAGGCTGAGGCAGCAGAATGGTGTGAACCCAGGAGGCAGAGCTTGCAGTGAGCTGATATTGCACCACTGCACTCCAGCCTGGGCGACAGAGCGAGACTCTGCCTCAAAAAAAAAAAAAAAAAACCTGGACACAACTTACTGAGATATGAAACTATATGGATATTTGCGGAGATGTCCCTAATATACCCTAAAGCCAGAGACAACTGATAAAGACTCTATACAAATCAAATAGGCAGTTATGCAGTTACAAAACTCTTCTCTATACACAAGGTCTCCCAAAGTCCCTAACAGGTACCCAACTAGTAGAAACATTCATACAAACCCAGGGAAGGAACACAGAATTGGTAAAGTAATGGCTGATATGCAACAACACTGTACAGCCACAAAGTATGGGAAGATGCTCAAGCTTGGGGGGCGGGGGGTACAAATAGGTAAGAAATTTGGATTGGCATGAAAGAGATATCTGACAATGGGAGTGAAGTGGGAAGGGAGGCTGGGACACATCTTTGGAGCCAATTGCTTTTCTGGTAGGTCTTTGTAATGTGAGATGAGGGATGGGGCACACCTACCAAAGAGGCTGAGCCCCTCCTTCAGTCCACTGGCCACTTTGTACACTGAGGGGTGAGACTCACTCTTAAAAATCTGTAGAACACTGTCGAGGAGAAATGGAGGAGTTTGGGGTAACTTGGACTTTTGAAGGGAATAAGAATTGAGGACTGATAAATGGAATGGGGACAGGGGATATCCTCCTGAGATCACGTCTTTTTTTTTTTTTTTTTTTTGAGATGGAGTCTCGCTCTGTCGCCCAGGCTGGAGTGCAGTGGTGCAATTTCAGCTCACTGCAACCTCTGCCTCCTGGATTCAAGCAATCCTGCCTCAGCCTCCTGAGTGGCTGGGATTACAGGCGCACAACACACCCAGCTAATTTTTATATTTTTAGTAGAGACGGGGTTTTACCATATTGGTCAGGTCTCAAACTCCTGACCTCAGGCGATCCACCCGCCTTGGCCTCCCAAAGCGCGGGGATTACAGGCATGAGCCACCGCGCCCAGCCGAGATCATATCTTGATGTAAGGTTTGTCCCTTACTTTTCTTTGCCTCAGTTTCTCCCTATAGAAAAGAAAGCTAGTATCTTTATGCTTTTCTTCCTCTCTTTCCCTCAAAACCCCCCTTCCCTTTCCTTCAAGGAGAGAGATCTTAATAGCCCCAGGATTAGGGAAACTAGAGCCTCATTAGGATTATTGGGGCATTAAACTTAATCCTTCTCCCTCCCCAGAGACAGCAGCATGCCTCCACCTCTTTACCTGTAAGTGTCTTGATCTATGTTCACCAGATGAGTCCTGAGGACAGAAAACAAAAAAGCAGGAAGCAGTCTGAGTTCGTTCCACAACTCCACTTCCTTTGTCCCCCTCTCTGAATATTGTCCCAGTCTTCTTCCCAAAGTCTCATTAGCCCTTAGATTCTCCCGGGTGTCCTAGAGCACTTGACCCACTGGGTCACAGCCACATCCACACCCCACCCCCACTTTACTTTTCAGGCCTCCCAATCCCACATTACTTTGGTTGGGGTTGGGGTGAATCACCTACAACATAAATTTCTTAAAGCCCAGGATGGGGACGCTGACATTATAGTCTTCCAGTTCAACCCCGATTCTTCTTCGACCCAGGAACTTCAGCAGCCCTCCAAGTGCTCGAACCTGGGAGGGGATCAGCAGTGGAATCGGGGTAAATCTTAAATCTCCTGGGGGCTGCAGAGCACCAGGGAAAGTTACTATTTTCCAGGGCTAGGCCAGTACCTCCCAGAATTCAGCCCTAGCACTTGTGCCGCCTCCCAGCCCTTATCCCCCAGGACCAATCTCACTGTGAGGAGGCAGTCAAAGGGAATAATGGAAGAGAGGAAGAGGATTTTCTCAGTGGCAGTCATGGCGTCTGGGATGAAGGAGTAGTTTCCAGAAAGGAGGCGTTGTTTGCTTATCTCCAGACCTATTTGAGGGAGGCAAGCAAAGGGAACGGTCTTGTAGCTCAATTTTTTCACCCCATTTTAAGAATGAGACAATAGAAGCAAGAGAGATTATTTGACTTGCCCAAGCTCACACAGGCAGTTAATGGAAAGCTAGAGCAAGAACCAAATTTTCAGACTCTTAGTCTAATTCTCTTTTTATTCTACATATAATATAAAGATACTTGTCTGAAAGCACAGCCTGAGAAAGATAAATGGCTGAGGAAAGTAGACATCTGTCTGGAATTGAGGATTTTGGTCAAAATAATGGTATTAATAGAACTAGTAACACTAATGCCTTAATATCTAATTAGGATAGTACACTCCTGTTCTTATTGTAAACCTAGGAAAGTTATAGAAGTGCCTTATGGATCATAATAAGGGTCACTGAGGCAGTGCCTTTTGGTTTGGTGATAAAAGGCTTTAACTTAATGGGGAGAATTCCAACAATAAAACCCTGTCCAAAAAGTGTCACCACTCCTCAGGGGAGGCCCTCATCCCTAGACATGACTTAAGCAGAGGCTTCCCAATAAGCTGCAGGTTATTAAAGGGTAGGGAGCAGGAGAGATCTTGGGGGGACAGGTCATAGGGCATGAGGAGCACAAAGGTTTAGGATGACATAAGGCAGAGGGGAGATCTGTGATGATGAAGGTAGAGTTGGGGGAAAGAATGGGACACCGGAACAGGGAGTTAGGCTAAGCAAAAGGAAGGAGATACCAAAATCCACACTTGGCAAAAATATGATTTCAGGTCTTTTAGGCTCTCTGTGCTCCTGGGAGGCTGTGGGGGAGGAAAGAAAAGGCTATCATTCTTTACATCTCAGTCCTTCTACCTCTGTCTGACACTCCCTCTCACCCAATTCTAGCCCCCTGGAATATTCCATATATTAGTCCTTCCCCATTTTCCCTCTATCCTTTACCAAGTCCTTACCAAGCTTTCCCAGAAATCGAGTCATATTCTCATCCTGTTTGGCACTCGTAACAACAGACTGGGGATTGATCTCATCCAGAACTTGGAAGGAGAACAGAGATCAAATGAGTTAAAGGATCTTTGTCTTTGACTAAGAGAAAACCCATAGCCCTCCTCTTCCTACCCCTCTCCTTCTCAAAAACATTTCCTCCCTAGGAGTAGGGAGTGCTCTGCACAGTGGGAACACAGGTAGAAGTTGAGATTTAGAAAAGTAGTTAAGAGTGGTGGGATGGTGAGAGGGAAGTGGGATGTTCTGGATGTTGTCACTAGGCTGTAAACCCCTGGAGAACAGACATGACTGATTTGCCCAGGGCTGAATCTGAAGCACCTGAAACATTGTAAATACGTCATATATATTTGTGGCCAGGCACAGTGGCTCATGCCTATAATCCCTGCCCTTTGGGAGGCCAAGGCAGGCAGATCACTGGAGGCCAGGAGCTCAAGACAAGCCTAGCCAACGTGGTGAAACCCTGCCTCTACTAAAAATATAAAAATTAGCCAGGCGTGATGGCAGATTCTTGTAATCCCAGCTACTCGGGAGACTGAGGCAGGAGAATTGCTTGAATCCGGGAGACGGAGGTTGCAGTGAGCCAAGATGGCACCACTACACTTCCAGCCTGAGTGACGGAGCAAGACACTGTCTCAAAAAAGAACAACCAAACAAACCAAAAAACAACCTCACAAATATTTGTTAAATAATGAAATGAATTCATAAAAACAAAAGAGGGAGCCTCTGTGAAGCAACTGTAAAATATATTGAGTCAGTGCTATAGTTTGGATGTGATTTGTCCCTGCCAAATATCGTGTTGAAATTTAATCCCCAGTGTGATAGTGTTGTGAGGTAGGGCCTAGCAGGAGGTGTGTGGGTGATGGGAGTGGATCGCTCATGAACAGATTAATGCCCTTCCTGGAGTGTGTTGGTGGGTATGAGTGAGAGGTTCTCACTCTATTAGTTCCTGAGAGAGCTGGTTGTCAAAAAGAGCCTGGCATCTCCCTCCCCCTTGCTTCTTCTCTGCCATGTGACCTCTACACACCCTGCCTTCCCTTCTTCCATGAGTTGAAGCAGTCTGAGGCTCTCACCAGTGAAGATGCCCAATTTTGAGCTTTCCAACCATCCAGAACCATAAGCCAAATAAAACTTTTTTTTTTTTTTAACAAATTACTCAGAGTCAGGTATTTCCTTACAGCAACACAAAATATGCTAGACAGTGAGGTGAGTTAATGTAAGTAAAACATGGCTGGGCGTGGTGACTCACACCTGTAGTCCCAGCACTTTAGGAGGCCAAGGTGGGCGGATCACAAGGTCAGGAGTTTGAGACCACCCTGGCCAACATGGTGAAACACCATCTGTGCTAAAAACACACACAAAAAACTAGCTGGGTGTGGTGGCACACGCCTGTAGTCCCAGCTACTCGGGAGGTTGAGTCAGGAGAATTGCTTGAACCCAGGAGGTGGAGGCTGCAGTGAGCCAAGATTGCGCCACTGCACTTGAGCCTGGGTAACAGAGCAAGACTCTGTCTAGAAAAAAAAAATATGTGTGTGTGTGTGTGTGTGTGTGTGTGTGTGTGTGTGTGTGTGTGTGTAACACATCTGCAATCCCAGAGAGCAGAGGAATTCATGGTTCCATCCCCACCTCTCTGGAGAAGCTTGAGGCTCTCGTGGTCTGGGGCATCTGGCATGAAGTGGATAGTGGAGTCACTAGTATCATAGTAGGCAATGCCCAAGTATCCTGAATTCCACAGCACACACAGATGGATCTGTCCAGCAAGGAAGAAAGGAAATCACTATTAGAATCACTCATAAGTGTAGGGTTTACCATGTCTTATATAATTTAATCATTTTCTCAAATCTCTGAGATAGGCATCATCACCCCCATTTAGTGAATGTGAAACAGCCACTCAGGAGGTAAGAGACTTGCCCAGCTCTTCCCAACCCTGTTTTTTTTTTCTTTCTTTCTTTGAGACGGAGTCTTGCTCTGTCGCCCAGGCTGAAGTGCAGTGGAGCAATCTCAGCTCATTGCAACCTCCGCCTCCCGAGTTACAGTGATTCTCCTGCCTCAGCCTTCCCAGTAGCTGGGATAACAGGCACGTGCCACCACGCTCGGCTAATTTTTATATTTTTAGTAGAGACGGGGTTTCGCCATGTTGCCCAGGCTGGTCTCCAACTCCTGAGCTCAGGTGATCCGCCCGCCTCAGTCTCCCAAAGTGCTAAGATTACAGGTGTGAGCCACCGCGCCCGGCTCCCAACCCTCTTTTATTCTAACTTCCCATCAACTCTCCATTCAAGTTTCTACTCCCCTCAGAGACCTCGGCCAGCTCCTCCTCCTCCTCGACTTCCTCCTCCTCGGCCTCCCTGGGGCCCGGCACTGGGGCCGGGCTGGGGAAGCCGGAGGAGGCCGCCCCAGGTCTCGGTCCCTGCGGTGTCCTCCTTGGGTTCGCTCCTAAGGAGGCCATGAGCTTGGAGGCTCTGCGGATGCAAAAAGTGAGGGCGGTTCGGAAGCAACGATTCACAGAGGAGGCCGGGGTAGGGTGGCGCGCAGAATGCAAAGCACTAAGTACTTCTGCTACAGGGCTGCGGGGCAGGGCTGAGGGGCGTGGAGAGCTGTGGACACAGGAGGTGAATTCTCGGGTATTTAACTAAAGTACAGATTGTGGGAAACTCCACGCGCCCCACCCTCATTCCTGTCACGCGGAGGTTACCCTTTGGAAGGAAGGGGTCTGAGGGCCCTGTGGGGCGAGTCGTGCACGTCTTATGTCTCTGCCTCTGCCAACCACGCGCCAGGACCCCAGCCTCACGCGCTTATCTTCCTCCTCCCCCAGCTGCCGCCATCGCAGCGTTTTCCCGCCTTTTCAGTAACCTGAGTCGCTACAGGTGGGAGAACGCCCCGCTGACCGACCGCCACGAGCCTGCAAAAGGAGCGCGCCGGCGCGTGAGCGAGGTGCGCGCGCACGCGCCCCGCCCTCCTAGCCGCTGTTGATTGGAGAGGCCCGGATCCAGCCTAGAGATCCGACAGGGCGAGGAGGAGAAGCGGACTGCCGTAGCTGAAGAGTCTGGACGCTGATTGGCCTATTTGCCTTCGGGGCGGGTCCAGAACGTTCAAACTTCCCGCCCTCTGCCGTTGCTTAGCAGCCGGGCCTCTAGCACTCACTGTTTCTGGGATTTGATTGGCGCAGTGGGAAGCCCGCGAGAAGGTCGGACCAGGGTCCGTAGTCCCAGTCCCTGGAAGGGGTTTGGGACCGTTGCGGGGGTTTTGAGGGGGAGGCCAAACTTAAAGAGCCAGAGGCGCTTATTTTTTTTCCTGCAACAACTCTTAAGTTAATATTTGTACCCTCTGAGTTAATATTTATACAGAGCTTAGAACAGTGCCTGGCAAACAAAGTAAGACCTAAATGAGCGGTGTTTCAAATAAATAAGCGGAAACAAGCAGGACTTCTGTCTCAGCCCTACCGTGCCTGTTTCCTGGGTACAGGGTATGACCACCCCCATAATGGCACGACAGGGCCTAATTTATTATTTAAACCCTTCAAGCAGAGGTGGAAGCATTCGAATTACATCAAATTCTGGCAGAGAGAAGTAGTTCTGATCAGAACACTCACACCCCTACTGGGACATGCCCATACCCCTTCGCACTTCTACACACCCCTGAAGACAGAGAGGTATCTATCATTCATGCATTCGGCAACTATTTAGTGCCTATTTTGGGCCAGGGGTTGGACTCAAAGCGGTGAACATAATGAAGTCACTGCTCCATAAAGCTTATTTGTGCGTCTGTGTGTGTGTGTGTGTGTGTGTGTGTGTGTGTGTGTGTGTTGCGGGGGTGGGGTTATGAGGGAGAAAGAAAAAAAAAATATATATATATATATATAATCCCTTTAAATGCACCATCCTCCCCAGCTTTGTTCCTAGTACCCTGAGATGGGGAGATTCCTCCCCAGCCCCCCAACCCAAGAAGTTAGGAAAGATGGTGGGGGTGAGATGACCTAGCTGTGCTAACCAGTAATTGGAAAATCCCCTCCAGCAAGAAAGGTGGGGGAACAGAGTTAAGGGCTGGGTTAATGGTTACCCCTGGCAAATCTGTTGAGCAATGGAGCTATAGAAACTTGGAGGAGGTTGGTGACAGCTCTGGGGAGTGTCAGGGAGGGACCCACCTTCCAATCTGGGGTGTGAAGAGATTAGGGACTAGTTTACCAAGCCCAGGAAGGGGAGGGAGTGGAAAGAGAAGCCCAGAGAGGGAAAGAGGAGCTACTGAGATAGGAGAAATGCAGGGACAGGGAGGTGAGATGGAGGGAAACCTCTGTTGCAGGATTTGGGGGTACAGCCCTGGCTCTGCTGGATGGTTCCAGGAGAGGGCAGCGTTGCCTGTCACCTGGTAAATTAAGGCACGATACCCTGTGGGTAGTCATGCCAGCCAGCCAAAGTCAATATTGATATCAAGGCAGCTGTAGCTATAAAGCTGTAGGAGAGAAAAGAGAGGCCGGGAGAGGCTGCCAAACCTGTTTGATCTTCAAGCTGGCCCCATTTACCTAAGGCTTCTCTTGGACACAGACCAGTTGGAACAGGAGAGGACCCTGAGAAGTAGAGTTGTTTTGATCCCCTCCCCTCAATGGGAAGGGGTCCTGTGTGCAGATTTTGAGGGTCACCATGAGGGAATTCACACCCACACAGAGGCATGGAATCATACCCTTACAGGATGTTACAGTTCAAGGGAACGAACACCAAAGATAGCCTTTCTGTCGGGAGGAGAGAAAAAGGCCCTCCCACAAGCAGGAGAAAACCCACAGAAGAGGAAGCACAAGAGGAAACCACCAACTGCTGGTTTCCAGCAGCACATCACGTCACTCCACCCCACTCCTCCCCCAAGTCTCTCCCTTTCTTTAAGTTTCAAGCTCTGTTTTAGTTCTGTGTTCTTGCACTCCACCATGGTTTTCTGGAACTGTAGGTCTTTTGTTGGACAGAGGGTGATGAGGAGGATAGAGAAGGGATGGTTGGACAGGAGAGAAATTCAGGATATGGAGGCTGGAATTCTGGGTTTATTTTTTCAGCAGGTCATAAAGGTTTAATAGAAATCAAGGTTACTGGAGAGAGAGCTGCTCCTCCTATGTCCTCCCTGCTTATTTATTTAGGTGTCCCCAAGGACTCTACTCCCACTATTCTGTCTGATCTTTCTTTATCCCCATGACAGGACCAGCTAACAACACCCCTACCCCACCCCCTATACACATACTTCAGGATCGGGCCATGATAATCCCACCCCTCTGCCCCATCTCCAAGGCAACCTGTCAGTGAGACGAGGACAAAGGGCACAGGAAGGGGCCCCAATAGGAAACATAAGTGGAAGCACAAAGCTGACCAAGCTACAGGAACAGACCCCTCCCTGCAACAAAGCCCCTTGCCTCGGCTTTATGTTTCCTTCGCAAAAGACTTCGTCATCTCCCTTCCCATCCCTAACTCTACTTTCTTTTTCTTTTCTTCTTCTTCTTTTTTTTTTTTTTTTTGAGATGGAGTTTCGCTCTTATTGCCCAGGCTGGAGTGCAATGGCACCATCTCAGCTCACTGCAACCTTCACCTCCCGGGTTCAATTGATTCTCCTGCCTCAGCCTCCCAAGTAGCTGGGATTACAGGTGCCCACCACCCCGCCTGGCAAATTTTTGTATTTTTAGTAGAGACAGGGTTTCACCATGTTGGCCAGTCTGGTCTTGACTCCCTGACCTCAGGTGATCCACCCCCCTTGGCCTCCTAAAGTGTTGGGATTACAGGCGTGAACCACCTCACCCGGCCCCTAACTCTATTTCCTATGCCCAATCCCAAGTGTAGGCCACAAGGACTGCAAGTCCTAGTGCTGAGCTGGGCCCGGAGACAGTAGACTGCGGGGGGCACAGGACCTACTGAGACACCAGTCTGGGCAGCTCAGGGAGTGCTGGCGTCACCCCTTCCCTAATCCCAGGCTGCATGGCTAACGGTTCCTATCTGCAGTCCCAGCCTTCCACTTCCGAGTTCTTCTCTCAGACCACAGTCCCAGCAACCCAGAATTTGGATTGGAGTCTGGAAGAAATGCAGAATGATTAAACGACCACCTTTCCATTTGAAGTCCCCATCCCTGAATCTTCACGGGTGTGCCCAAGCTGTTAGTGTCAAGTTTTTTATATGAGGGTCAGTCGGGTTGTACTCAGATTAATGAAGCAGGGAAACTGAGGCAGAAAAGAGTCCTGTGTTCAGGAGAGGTCGGAGAAACAAGGAGGTTTTCAGGACTCCTCCTTAACACCCCCATCCCCATCCTGTGGGAGATCCGAGGATTCCCCTTCCGGACTCACTCCCTACATCGTCGAGTCCCGCCCCCCTCCAGTCCCCTCCCCAGGTTCAGGGCGGGGCCGGTCGGTGAGTCAGCGGCTCTCTGATCCAGCCCGGGAGAGGACCGAGCTGGAGGAGCTGGGTGTGGGGTGCGTTGGGCTGGTGGGGAGGCCTAGTTTGGGTGCAAGTAGGTCTGATTGAGCTTGTGTTGTGCTGAAGGGACAGCCCTGGGTCTAGGGGAGAGAGTCCCTGAGTGTGAGACCCGCCTTCCCCGGTCCCAGCCCCTCCCAGTTCCCCCAGGGACGGCCACTTCCTGGTCCCCGACGCAACCATGGCTGAAGAACAACCGCAGGTCGAATTGTTCGTGAAGGTAAGAACACTTCTCTCCTCAGCCACCCAAATTCCTGGAAGCCAACTCTCACCTTTCCCCCGGTCCAGCCTTAACTCCCCAATCCCTTCCCTCCTTGACTCCCACCCCCAATCCCACGTGCACTCTTTGGTTGAGGGGTGGTTTTGAGAGGGGAAGACATTAACTTGTTAGCAAGTAATGAGAATTCTAGGATCAACCCTGAAAAGTTTGTAAAAGTGCAAGTTTCTAGCAGACTAAAGGAAGGGAAGTGGAGAAAAAGGAGAATTCCCAAAAGTGAGACTGGGGTGGGGTTAGAGGGCGAGCTGGTGAAGGGACAGTGGGGGCCCAGCAGGGTTTAGAAGGGACAGAGGGGAACCTCAGTTAGGACATGTGTCCCTACAAGATCTGAGGGTGAGTAGTGCAGTAGGAGAGGTGTGTGTGTGTGTGTGTGTGTGTGTGTGTGTGTGTGTGTGTGTGTGTGTGGATGGAGACGCTTCAGGGAAGACGGTGTGTTGAGGGAGGCCTGAGAGTGAGAGCAAGTAAATTGGGAAGCTTTGGAGGGGCGGAACAAAACAGGAGACTGGGATCGGAGTTTGAAAAGCAGAGCTGGAGAGGTGATCGGGTGGCATTGAATATCCCCAGGACTGGGGAAAGGGACAGAAGGGGAGGTGGCAAGAAGACGTGAGTTTAACGTAGCTACCACAAGGATGGGTGGGAGAGAGATCAGACGGAGGAGAAGAGCTCGGTTAGGGCATTTTGGGATTTGGGGGTTGGAGAAGTAGAAGACTTGCCCCAACTCTCTCCTCTCTCTGCGGGTGTGGGTAAGGAGAGATGGTCCTATGGCATTTGGGTAGCAAAACTGCAGGCAGCAGGCTTCTCGGTGTCACCCAGCCCCCCTCTGATTGCAGCGGCCGCTCCCCTCCCTACCGCTGCTGCATTCATTTCCCAGTCTTGGGACCTCCTGGCTGTGCCCCTCCCTCCCTTCCTTAACAGTGTCCTCTTCTCCCCGCTCCGTTTGTGTCTCTCCGTTGGCACGCACGTCTCCCCACTCTCCACTTTCCTGCCGCCTTTCTTTCCCCTTCCCCCCTTTTGTTTCTCTCATCTTTGTGTGTCTCTGCCTGTGTCTCCCTCTCCCTTCTGCTTGGGTTTCTCGGGCAGCCATTCCCTCTCCCTGGGCCCAGGGAAGTCGGAGCCTGCTTGGGTCCGCCCCCTTAGGTGTGGTCCCCACCTCACTCTCACATTCGCCTCCGGGGCTATTTTTACTCGTGGGTGAGGCTGTGCCGCAGAGATTCCGGCCCTGTGTCCTGTGAGAGGATGGTTATTGCAGTCAGAGGACTTGTGCTGGGAGACCCTGGCAACAGGTTAGGGGTAGCCTTAGCTGCCCAGGCCTCATCCTCACTGTCCCTTCCCCCACATCCTTGACAGGAAGGAAGCCGGAGACAGAGAGATGAATCACCCTCAGCTTAGGGGGAGGTGTCCCTTGGGCCAATGAGGTCACCACTTGCTAATTAGAGGGCAGCCCCTCTCTGTAGGGCCCTCCACATCTCTAGCGCGAGGCCCAGGGCCCCTTGACTAGACTCCCCACCCAAAGACACCTTGGATTGGAGGTGTAGAGAACCAAAACTCTGGCTCCCAAACCCCACCCACCTCTCCTGTCTTCAGACTCTACTCCCTTCAGGAACCCAGAAATCCAGGCTTCTAGCCTACAACTCTGGCCTCACTGAAGTTCCACACCCTTCCCTCTCTAGGATTCAGATCCTCCCAAGTTCTCCAGGACCTCCTCCCTCTACCTACCTCCCACCTGTCCTCAGTGTCTGGGGAACCAGAAGCCTGCCTTTGCAAAACAGTTTCCCATTGATCTGCCTTAGGTTTGACCCAGGCCCAAGGGCAAAGAGCCCATAGTGAGGGGACAGTGTATGTGTCATGACTAGGCAGAAAACAGCTGGTCTGGGAGTGGGAATGCAGGGACTGGCCTAGGGATGGGTGGGGTGCATCAGGCATAACCTTGGGTTGGGGTTACTTTTCAGGCTGGCAGTGATGGGGCCAAGATTGGGAACTGCCCATTCTCCCAGAGACTGTTCATGGTACTGTGGCTCAAGGGAGTCACCTTCAATGTTACCACCGTTGACACCAAAAGGTAGGCCTGCTTATGTTCCTTGAAACACCCCTGGTGTACACATGTGTGCAAACACACACCCACCCGAGTCCTTCTGTCATGAACATTTTTGCCCTCCCCCTGGAGTCCCTTTCTTATCCCACGTCCTCCATTCCCCCTTTCTGGTTCTTCCTGACCCCCATTTCCAGTCCTGATTCCTGATCCTTTCTCCAGGCGGACCGAGACAGTGCAGAAGCTGTGCCCAGGGGGGCAGCTCCCATTCCTGCTGTATGGCACTGAAGTGCACACAGACACCAACAAGATTGAGGAATTTCTGGAGGCAGTGCTGTGCCCTCCCAGGTATAGGGGCACTCAGAAAGTGGAGAGGTGGAGCAGGGAGATTCTGGGAAACAGACAGTTTGCAGAAATGGAAAACAGAGATGGTGGTGGGGCTGGGGCAGGAGAGCTAGCTGAGGTTCCTCCCAGGAAGACATCTTACCTCATTTTTCCCATTGGCTTTCAGGTACCCCAAGCTGGCAGCTCTGAACCCTGAGTCCAACACAGCTGGGCTGGACATATTTGCCAAATTTTCTGCCTACATCAAGAATTCAAACCCAGCACTCAATGACAGTGAGTCTTGTGGGTCAGAGGCCTGGGTCCTGGGAGGAATAGAGAGGACCCAGCGGGTAGGAGACATTAGGGGCACCTGGACGTTCAGATATCAGGGAGATGAAGCAGATGTTCGTAAATTTCCCCCAGCTTCCCATTTTTGCTTTACCTCTATATTTCCCTGCATTTTCATTGGCCAAGACTTTTAAGCTTTTCTCATTTGTTCCCTAGCCTCTTCTGCCCCACTGAGGACGTTAGTTGGCTGCTGGCCTGTTTTCTGGCAGAATAGGGTCATGCTTAAGAACAGTCATCACTCTAGATCCAGACTACCTGAGTACAAATCCAACTAGCCGTATAATTTTGAGCAATCATTTCACCTCTCTGTAAGTCCATTTCCAGATCCACAAAATTAGGATGACAATACCTATTTCATGGGTTGATATAAATTTTTTTTTTTCTTTTTTTTTGAGATGGAGTCTCGTTCTGTCGCCCAGGCTGGAGTGCAGTGGTGCAATCAGCTCACTGCAACCTCTGCCTGCCGGGTTCAAGCAATTCTCCTGCCTCAGCCTCCTGAGTAGCTGGGATTACAGACGTGCATCACCACGCCCAGCTAATTTTTGTATTTTTAGTAGAGACAGGGTTTCACCATGTTGGCCAGGCTGGTCTTGAACTCCCGACCTCAGGTGATCCACCTGCCTCGGCCTCCAAAAGTGCTGGGATTACAGGAGTGAGCCACTGCACCCGGCGATATAAATGAGTTTGTAAAATGTAAAGTGTTCACTTTGGGAGGCCGAGGCTAGCGCACCACCTGAGGTTAGGAGTTGGAGACCAGCCTGGCCAACATGACTGGTCTCTACTGAAAAAAATACAAAAATTAGCCAGTTGTGGTGGCAGGCACCTGTAATCCCAGCTACTCAGGAGGCTGAGGCAGGAGAATCATTTGAATCTAGGAGGCAGAGGTTGCAGTGAGCCGGGATCATGCCACTGCACTCCAGCCTGGGCAACGGAGCAAGACTCCGTCTAACATAAAATAAAATGTAAAGTGCTTAGAATAACACATAGAAAAGTAACTACATGAGTGTTAGCTATTATTATTTTGGACTCACCATTAGTATCCACCCCCAACGGGCCTTTTCGGACTATGTCAATCTTTTCCTGAAGTTCTAATCAGTTCCCTCTCTTGCACAGATCTGGAGAAGGGACTCCTGAAAGCCCTGAAGGTTTTAGACAATTACTTAACATCCCCCCTCCCAGAAGAAGTGGATGAAACCAGTGCTGAAGATGAAGGTGTCTCTCAGAGGAAGTTTTTGGATGGCAACGAGCTCACCCTGGCTGACTGCAACCTGTTGCCAAAGTTACACATAGTACAGGTGTGTGGTTATTGCGGGAGGAGAGGATGACCACTGGAGTGGCCCTTTAAGGAGCTCCCACATGGGCTTCCCCTGACAACCACTCTAAAGACGATTTCTTTCTTAGGGTGGTTTTCATAAATTGCTACCAATGGCAGACCCCACCCCAGTCCTTTGCAGCAGTCATTGCTAACAAGACCACTGCTTGAGATAATTATATTCCATGATGTAAGTCATGGGTGCAAACAGACTAGCAAAGAGGAATACATCCCAGTATTACTTTTGAAGAATGCTCTTCCTGTCTCGGTATCACTGCCAAATTCCCAGATTAGACAGAGCAGGCTTTTCCTAAAGTCAAAGCTTTAACTTTCTTTATAACTTCAGTCTTCACTTCCTCTTGTGGAAGATCAAAACTGCTGGTTCCCATGTTTTTGTCATAGTCTCAAAGCTATGGTTTAGTTTGTGCAACATGGGCCTGACATCAGTCTGCCACACAACTATGTAGTGAACATCTGTGTACTAAGCATTGAAAGATACACAAGTGTATGGTGACTGGGCCTTGCTCTCAAAGGGTTGAAATCTGAGACAATAAAATATTCACATGAAAGTTAAGAATATATGATGAAAAGTCAGATGGGCCGGGCGTGGTGGCTCACGCCTATAATCCCAACACTTTGGGCGGCCAAGGCTGGTGGACCACCTGAGGTTAGGAGTTCGAGACCAGCCTGGCCAACATGGTGAAACCCCATCTCTACTAAAATTACAAAAATTAGCCGCACATGGTGGTGGGCACCTGTAATCACAGCTATTTGGGAGGCTGAGGCAGGAGAATCACTTGAACCCGGGAGGCGGAGGTTGCAGTGAGCCAAGATCGCGCCATTGCACTCCAGCCTGGGTGACAGCAAGACTCCATCTCAAAAAAAAAAAAGTCTGATGAAAAATATAGAGACAAAAGTCACCTGTGTCAGTGCCTGAAGTGGTATAGGGGGAAAAAGTCACTGTGGAAATTCAAGAGGAGAATTTTATAAGTAAATTATATCTCAAGTTTTAAAAACTCAGGAAAAATGGCTGGTTATTAAAAGCCAGGATTTCAGTAAGTGAGAAGGAAGGCTAACGACAGTACAAGACAGTGAGGAGTTGAGCTGGTTTTATCATGTCGGCCTGGGGAGAAGGGAAAGCCAAGGTGGCTTCCCTGGGTCTAACATGTTGGTCCCTCTCCTCTCCCCATCCTCAGGTGGTGTGTAAGAAGTACCGGGGATTCACCATCCCCGAGGCCTTCCGGGGAGTGCATCGGTACTTGAGCAATGCCTACGCCCGGGAAGAATTCGCTTCCACCTGTCCAGATGATGAGGAGATCGAGCTCGCCTATGAGCAAGTGGCAAAGGCCCTCAAATAAGCCCCTCCTGGGACTCCCTCAACCCCCTCCATTTTCTCCACAAAGGCCCTGGTGGTTTCCACATTGCTACCCAATGGACACACTCCAAAATGGCCAGTGGGCAGGGAATCCTGGAGCACTTGTTCCGGGATGGTGTGGTGGAAGAGGGGATGAGGGAAAGAAATGGGGGGCCTGGGTCAGATTTTTATTGTGGGGTGGGATGAGTAGGACAACATATTTCAGTAATAAAATACAGAATAAAAATCAAGTGTTTTTACGCAATGGGGGTTTAAAGTGTGGGCGACATGGAATGAGGGGTGGGTCAGTGATCTTGAGCTCAGGGCAGAAGCCAGGAATTAAGAAGGGAAATGTTTGTGGTGGGGCTGCTATGTTTCGTGCCGGTCCGCCGGTCCGCCGTTGCGCTGTTCTGAGGTCTACGAAGCGTTTGCAGCCCCGTCGCCAGGGCCGGCCAGATCTGGGTGGGCCTGGGCAGCGCTCGCTGGGCGGTGCCGATTTCTGGCAAGGGGGGCGCAGTCTGGATGTAATGGGCGCGGCTTAGCAGGGCGGAATGGGCGTGGCCCGAAGAAGCCCCGCCCCGTCCCGCTTAGACAATGCCCCGGAGCCGCCAGACCGTCGCGCCCCTGCCCCATCGTAGTATATGAGCTCGCCTACACAAGGACCCCCGCTAAAAGCCAGAGCTCCCAGTCCCCGAGGCTTGAAGACGGGGACTCCCTTCTCCACCAACTCTGTCCTCGGGGGGTGGGGCCCCAGCCGAGATCACAGCGCGACAGGAGTGGGGGTGGCCGCTGGAGGTGAGTCTTGCGTGGGGGGCCCTGAACCGTGTGGGGGCCGGAGTTTGGGGGTGCCGGGCCCATGCCTGCACCAGACAGAGAGTATGGGGAGCCGGTATTTGGGCGCGGAGCTAGGCGGGGTGGACTTTGGGACATAGACGGGGAACCGGGTCCTGGAGCCGGGAGTAGTGCCAGCGCCCCGGAACCACGCCCCCTGTTACCCCGCCCCTCGCATTTCGTTTTAGACCTCTCCCAGTCCTTCGGGACTCGGTCTGGTTTATACTAGGTCGTGCTAGGGGCAGCGTGACCAGCCAGGGCGGAGAGAGGATGCTTAACTCCTTAGGCTCGAACTCCTCCCTTCCTACCCACCTCTCTCCCTTCTCGTTCGGGTATTCAGGACTTCCATTCCCCAGCCCCTGCCTCTCCAGCTTTCTCCTTCTGTCCCATAACCCCTGCGGGTCCCGGGCTGGACTTCCAGTCCCTGCGGTAGCGAGCAGCTGAGGGTTAAGGGGGCGGGGCTGCTGCATTTTTGGGGAGTGAGCGCATCCTAGTGGCTGCCAAGAGGGGCGCCCGACAGGGACCTCACAAGCCCCCAAGCAGGGGCAACAGGTGTTTTGGAGATTAGAGACCCTAGCCTTGTTCCTCAGGCTCCTCTTAAAGAATCTGACCCCTGAGGGTGCTGGGTAGAGTGAGGTCGACAGGAGCGGAAGGTCTGGAGTGGGTGGGGCGGAGTGGGAGGGACGCCTAGAGATGGCAGGAGGAAGACCTGGGCGCTCTTAACCACCCCCAACGCCCTTGTCTGCATGTCTTTTTCTCTGTCTCCTCCTTTTCTGTTTCTTCTCCCAGACAGGTGAAGAAACAAGAAAACTAAGAAATCCGAGCGGTTGGAGGGGGAGTCTGTGTGGATGGGATGGGGACGCCGGGGGAGGGGCTGGGCCGCTGCTCCCATGCCCTGATCCGGGGAGTCCCAGAGAGCCTGGCGTCGGGGGAAGGTGCGGGGGCTGGCCTTCCCGCTCTGGATCTGGCCAAAGCTCAAAGGGAGCACGGGGTGCTGGGAGGTAAACTGAGGCAACGACTGGGGCTACAGCTGCTAGAACTGCCACCTGAGGAGTCATTGCCGCTGGGACCGCTGCTTGGCGACACGGCCGTGATCCAAGGGGACACGGCCCTAATCACGCGGCCCTGGAGCCCCGCTCGTAGGCCAGAGGTGAGCGCCGTGGCGCGGGTGTGGTATGGGGAAAGGCAGAAGGAACTGGATGTCGGGGCTTTGGGGAAGAATTGAGGATGGGGGTGTCACAGCTCCGTGCCCTCTTCTCCTATCCTAAGGTCGATGGAGTCCGCAAAGCCCTGCAAGACCTGGGGCTCCGAATTGTGGAAATAGGAGACGAGAACGCGACGCTGGATGGCACTGACGTTCTCTTCACCGGTGAGGCTGGGGGGAGGCATAGGTCTTGGCACAGGGAAGTAGAGTTTGGGAGACTCGGCCGTCTGGAGCCTTGTTTCTAACTCACTCCCGCCCTCAAACCTCCGCGGCCTCCCGGACTCAGGCCGGGAGTTTTTCGTAGGCCTCTCCAAATGGACCAATCACCGAGGAGCTGAGATCGTGGCGGACACGTTCCGGGTGCGGAGCGGGACCAGCCTAGGGAGGGAGGGGGTGCAGGTGGGGGTCGGAAGGGCCTGGGCGCCCGCTGAGGAAATGAGAGGCAGAGAGCAGCCTATGTTTGAAGATACCCCATCACCCCTCCCGCGCCCCTGAATACCTCCCTTCGCTCTCCCTAGGACTTCGCCGTCTCCACTGTGCCAGTCTCGGGTCCCTCCCACCTGCGCGGTCTCTGCGGCATGGGGGGACCTCGCACTGTTGTGGCAGGCAGCAGCGACGCTGCCCAAAAGGCTGTCCGGGTGAGGAGGGGGCGGGGCCAACGAAAGTGGGCGCAGTTCTGGGCCCGGGAGGCCGGGAGCTGGGAGGCTTAGGAAATTAGCCCTAACCCCTGCCCTCAATGGGCTGTCCATCTTACATGAAAGAACACAGGAGAAAATAAGAAGTTACAACAGCAGGACTGGGAACAGGGGTGATTAATTTGCTCTTCCGGAGTTTCAGGAAACCCCAAAGGTGGCACCTAAACTGTGACTCTAAGGATGGGTAGGACAGATAGGAGGGGCTGGGGAAGGTAGGGGGTTGAAAATAACTGCATGTGATTCCAAGGTGGAAATTAGCAAAGGTAACTAAAGTACTTAGTGTCTGACATATCGTAAGCTCTATGTGCTTGCTGTCATTATTTTCCACAAATGTCAGTCCGTCCCCAGCCCTTAGTGGTGGTTGAGCAGGCAGACACAGCTGTGGAGAGGTTCTGAGACTCGAACACTTCCTCTTTCCTCTAGGCAATGGCAGTGCTGACAGATCACCCATATGCCTCCCTGACCCTCCCAGATGACGCAGCTGCTGACTGTCTCTTTCTTCGTCCTGGGTTGCCTGGTGTGCCCCCTTTCCTCCTGCACCGTGGAGGTGGGGATCTGCCCAACAGCCAGGAGGTGAGAGAGGGCAGGAACTCCAACACCAAGCACCATCAGAGAAAAGAGTTTCAGGCTTTCCTAGTGGGAGGAAGGAAGGGTACCTTCTCTAGAAGCCTGGGTGGGGCCACTCTGAGCTGGCTGGAAGAGTGGCCTGGCTCAGCCTGAGGTCTCACTCCCCTCTCCCCACTCCATGTCTTCCCTGTGCAGGCACTGCAGAAGCTCTCTGATGTCACCCTGGTACCTGTGTCCTGCTCAGAACTGGAGAAGGCTGGCGCCGGGCTCAGCTCCCTCTGCTTGGTGCTCAGCACACGCCCCCACAGCTGAGGGCCTGGCCTTGGGGTACTGCTGGCCAGGGGTAGGATAGTATAGGAAGTAGAAGGGGAAGGAGGGTTAGATAGAGAATGCTGAATAGGCAGTAGTTGGGAGAGAGCCTCAATATTGGGGGAGGGGAGAGTGTAGGGAAAAGGATCCACTGGGTGAATCCTCCCTCTCAGAACCAATAAAATAGAATTGACCTTTTAGACTGGGCTGTGACTGGTGTCTTACTGGGGCAAAGGGATAGGGCAGGGCTGAAACCTGAGTTTGGGGTCAGTGCAGGGAAGAAGGCCTCTTATTCAAAAATCTTGTTAGGTACTTATCAACTCATTGCCCAACCATGTCATAGGTACTTGAGCACAAGATGAACAAGACAGAATTTCTATCATGGGAAGTGTGTCCAGGGCAGAGAAAAGAGTGTATGGGTGGATTGCTCACTGAATTTATCTAAATGTTAGATGATTCAGAGACTGGTAGATTACCAGTCCACCCCTATTTGATAAAGAAAAAGAAATGACACTTCCAGGGACATTCATTTTCATTCATTCATTTAATGAGGCTTAGCAATGATATCAAAAGGGTCAGTCTCCTGACGTTGGGGAGCTCACAGTACATGCAAATTTCTTACAAATTGAAATACAGGTTGTCATGGAACAATTTACAGAAGGCTGTTTCTATGAGGGAAATAAAGGGGGTGTGCCCTAGGGCATCAAAGTATATGCAAGGGGTGGCCAAGGAGGGTCACCTTCCCAGAAAAGGCCATACTTGAACTAAGGATAAATAAGAATTAGCCAGGCAGATAGTGTGAAGGAGGGAAAGGGGTAATACAGGAAGAAGGAATTGCACTGGGCAAAGACATTTTGGGGCTAGGGAGAATTCTCTAAGGCTGGCATTTTCTAAGATGTGCATGTGGAATGACACAGGTAAGCCTGGAGAGTGGACAAAGTGCTGTAGTACCTTGTATCCAAAGCCAAGGCACGTGGGCACAGAGCTGAAGCTAAGGAGAGTACTTCAGTTCTGTAATAAGGGCTGTCAGGAGCAGTTATCTCTTGAGTAGGATCTCTCTGACTTCAGGGAGGAAAGCAAGGGTAGGAGGATGAGGTGGGGCTATGGGTAATCCAGGAAGGAAGTGAGCAGAGTACATTCACGTGGCAGCGCTGGGCATGGAATACAGTGTGGGTTTGACAGTGATGTTAAGATAGAAAGACTGGACTTCATGGCTCATTGTGTGGGAGTAAGAGAGAAAGGAGGTCTGCGTGACTCCCAGTTTCTGGGTTGGGCAACTGGGTTGTTAAAGAGAATACAGAGGAGAATTAAGTGAGCAGCTTCAGAGATGACAATGAGTTGGGTTTGACATTCAGAGTGCGAAATGCCTGAGGTCAGTCAGGCAGAATGTCTAAGTGGAAGTTTGTTAATCCCAAATCTGAGATCTGAGCCAGAGAGAGTTCTGAGTGTCATTTGCAGAGGAGGGGGCTGAGGACTGACTGTTGATGAGAGTGTCCCAGAAGAAGAGAAAGGGACAAACCTAGAATGGTGGGAAATACTGTAGGGATATGGAGCAAGGAAGAGGAGTCCAAAAAGAAAACACCAGCAACAAAGAAAAACAGCTTAAAGAATCAGGCCGGGCGCGGTGGCTCACACCTGTAATCCTAGCACTTTGGGAGGCCGGGGCGGGTGGATCACGAGGTTAGCAGATCAAGACCATCCTGGCTAACACAGTGAAACCCCGTCTCTACTAAAAATACAAAAAATTAGCTGGGCGTGGTGGCGGGCGCCTGTAGTCCCAGCTACTCAGGAGCCTGAGGCAGGAGAATGGTGTGAACCCGGCAGGCGGAGCTTGCAGTGAGGGAGATGGTGTCACTGCACTCCAGCCTGGGCAACAGAGCGAGACTCCGTCTCAAAAAAAAAAAAAAAAGGAGCTAGGGCTTGATTGGGTATAGAGAGGACACTGGTGGTGAGGGAGACATGGAGGTTATAGGAGAGATGGGAGTAAGTTTAGAAGTAAGACCAGTGGCAGAGACAGCCTGGAACCCAGGTCTCCCAACTCCCAGTCTAGCACTTATTTCTATACCATGGTGCCTTCCTCTTCCAGGTGAGGAACCAAGGAGGGGAGAGGGATTATGGGGAGCTGGGATCCCCTAGCTTGGGAGGTTTGGAGTAAGGGCTTCCCTTCAAACTACAACTGCATAGATGGTGGAGGCATCAGCAGGGTCCGCTGTGGACAGCCGGCGGGGCCTGCTGAGGGCTAGATGGTCCAGATCCGCATAGAGCAGGCTCTGGAGGAGGAAGGGGAGGAAGACAAGATGGTCTCCACAGTCTTCCTTGGGGTTCAGGCCTTTTTTTTTTTGGTCCATTTTCCTCAGAGATTCTGGCTATCCCCTTCCCATCCCCATGCCCTTACCGGTTCCTGGTCCAGGTCCCCTGGAATCTTGGGCTCTTCCTCCTTTACTGGCCTCTGGGGCTCGGTTTTCACAAGTGGAGCTATGTGGGGGGGACAGAGCTGAAGGATGGAGAGAAGGTGACCAACGTGTCTGCTCCCAGCAAGGGCTCAGACTCAGGAATTGAGGGGTGGGGAGTGGGCATGTAGGAGAAAGAAAATGGGGTGGAATTAGTCTCACCAAATCTAGGGAGTGGTCGAATCGGTTGCGGGGGCAGGCGCCTGTAAGGGACATATGAGTCTTTGAGAACCACCAGTCTTGTCTCACTGGTTCTCCTGGGACTCGCCACGCCAAGGACAGCCCAGCAACTTGAAGGCTCAGACCGGAAACAACTTAGACTCTACCCCACCGACAGTCCAGCCCAGGCTCTAACTCTGCTGCACTTCCAGCTCATCTGCTCTGGTGGGGCTCTACTCACCAGCCAGCGGCCTCGCTCCCACCTTTGACCTCTCCCATTCTTCGCCAAGCCAGGACCAGAGCTCTAGGTCTAGCTCTTTCTTTTGCGAAGGTTCTGGTCCTGCCCCTTCCACCTCTGGTCACTCCCCATTTAACGAGGCCGGGTCCCTCCTGCTCACCTGTGCAGCCACCAGACCAGGCCCAAAGCTCCCAGTCCGAGCACCAACCCAGCGCCCAGCAGCGGGATCAGGAGCTGGGGATACACGGACCCTGGGGGAAAGGCGTGGCGGGGAGGGATGCTGAGGTCAGGGGTTTGACGAGGGACAGCCAGCAGTCCCGCTCAAGAACCCCCAGCCAAGGCCCTCTTCCCTCCTCCGGGTATGTGTCGGAGTTAAGTACCCTTGTGCGCACAGGCCTGCACCTACCATGGGTAGGCCCGGGGGCCTTGCAATAGGTCCTGTCCCCCAGCACGTGAAGCACTGTACGGCTCTCGTCCTCGTGGCGGCCCTTGCAGAAAAAAGTGCCCGAGTCTCCCGCGCTCAAGAGGAGCTCCAGCCGCCGGATACCAGAGTCCAGGGAGCGTAGGCGGCCGACGAAAGGCTGGAGGGGAGGCACGGTGGGGGTCCCGCTCGAAGAGGCCCACAGGATCGGTCGGCGTCCTTTGGACAGGCCCTTGCAGGCCGGGAAGCTGGGTGCCCAGACCCAGCGGATGGGATGAGAGACTCCTCCGCAGGAGAGATTCACCCGGTCCCCAGGGCGGCCGTCCAGAGAAGCTAGGAGAGGCCGGAGGCTGTGGTTAGGGCACGTCCACAGGGCAAGACGACCCTCCATCCCGTCTCCTCTTTCTCTTCTCTGTTCTGCACTCCAGCCATCCTGGATCTTCCCACACACAACCCACCCTACTAGGCGGCCCTTATCTTGCTTCAGCCCCTCTGCGTCTATCACAACTCTCCCAGGGATCGCTTACCCCCAGGGTTCCCTTGGGCCCTCGAGAGCAGCAGCGGTAGCAGCTGCAGAAACACAGCCATGGTTAGGATGTGGTGAGGAGAAGCTGCGAGCGAATCAGCGGCGTGGGGCCGGTTGGGGGGGGACCGGAGGGAAGTTAGGCGTGGGGAGAACGGAGGGGCTGGGGGGCTCCGATAAGAGAGGGGGCGGGGCCACCAGCTGCCCAGATCCCTTTGGGAATCCTCGCAGGCAAACTCGGAGTCTTCAAATGGTTCTCACTTAAAATGTGTGCTCGGGCCATTTACACAAATGCTTTGGCCTGCTTAACTTTTCAGGTGCGCCTGTAATCCCAGCTACTTAGGAGGCTGAGGAGGGAGGATCGCTTGAGCTCAGGAGGTCGAGGTTGCAGTGAACTGTGATCAGGCCATTGCACTCCAGCCTGGGCGACAGAGCCAGCCAGACCCTGTCTCAAAAACAACAACAACAAAAACTCCTGTTTTGTAGGGGATTGTGATAACGAAATAAAGTAATACATGTAAACTGCTTAGAATACATAGGATCACTATGTAAGTGCTTGCCATTATTATTACTATTTCTATTCTTTTTTTTTTTTTTTTTTTTTGAGTCAGAGTCTTGCTCTGTGGCCAGGCTGGAGTGCAATCTCGACTCACTGCAGCCTCCGGCTCCTGGATTCAAGTGAGTCTCCTGTCTCAGCCTCCTGAGTAGCTGGAACTACAGGTGCATGCCACCACACCTAATTTTTGTATTTTCAGTAGAGATGGGGTTTCACCATGTTGGCCAGGATGGTCTCGATCTCTTGACCTTGTGATCCACCCACCTCGGCCTCCCAAAGTGCTGAGATTACAGGTGTGAGCCACCACACCCGGCCTACTATTTCTATTCTTATTTTAGCTTCTACCTCACCTCTCTGTGCCCATGCTGTTCCTCCTGGCTTGGTACCCTGCCCAAGTTGGCAGGTTTTGACTGGGGAGGTGCTTTGGAGCAGGTGCACACAGCCACACCTAGGACAATTGCTGCTGCTGGACTGGAGCAACAAGGCCACACCAAGCGCAAGTGGAGCACGGGTGACATCCTGAGAACCTTCATGGGAGCCTGAGGCAGCCCTACTTAGCAGACCTGTGGTGGCTCTCCTGGATGAGTAGCCCCAGCCCCTGCCTCTGCTGCTGTGGCATCACAGAAGCCATCAGTGAGTCACTTATTGCTGAGCAGGTATTGGAAAGACCGAGTGGGGGCTGAATGGAGATTAATTTGACCCATTCCTCCCCCAATTTCCACCAGCATGCCCCTATCAATGCCCAGCAGGGACCCAGGGACCCAAATTCAGCAATTAATTTGGGCCACATCCTTTTGTCCATTTTCCAGGAACCAGCAGAAGCTGCCACCATGGACACTGTAAATCACAGAGGCCTTTGATGATGCTCATTCAGAGGACTGAGCAGCAGGACTCTTAGCTGGGGACCAGGAAGGGCATCTTGGCCTGAAACCAAGAACCACAATGGCATTGGCCACTAGTGGCACCTGCCTTCCCCCATCCCTCTCTCCCATCCCTACTCCCCACTCAGTCCTGCTCAGTGCCTTCCCACCCCTTGTCTTTTCTCTGGTCAGCTGCGTAGTAAGTGAGAAGGGAGGGGCTACCAGAGGCAGGGAAGGGAGGAGCCTTTGGGTTTATAAATTCCAAAAAGGCCACTCAACTCCTAGAGCTGGATCCTTGAAAATCTACTCTATCAGCTGCTGTGGTTGCCACCATTCTCAGGACCCTCGCCATGAAAGCCCTTATGCTGCTCACCCTGTCTGTTCTGCTCTGCTGGGTCTCAGGTGAGCACCTGGGGGCCCCAAAGACCTGGTTTGCCTGGTCAGGACCTTTACACCCTGCTCTACCCACTTCCCGGCCCTACCCACCACTCGGGATCCCAACACCCCCAGCCCCAACTGGCTCAGCTCTCCTGTGCCACCAAGACCAGGCTTCCCTATGACAGCCTCCTTGCTCTATTTCTCAAAAAGCCAGGTCTCCATCCATCCTCCCCACCTCCAAGAAAGACCCATTTCTCTCACCTGCCAGGGCTCTGGGTCCCCTGTTCCCCACTCCAAGGTGTCTCCTCCTTGGAAACTCTGGTATCCAGTTCCCCAACCAGCCCCACTTCAATATGCAACTCTCCAGAGTCTAGCTTACCTGCCTTCTCCTCTATCTGCTGTGCTCAGTAAGGTGTCCTCTCGAAGACCTAGGCATCCAGCCCCAGGCTCCTTTTGTAACCTACCCTCCCCATCTACTCCATCAGGGACTCACATGTTCAGTCTCTCAGCCATGGCCTTTCCTAGATACCCCCTACTCCCCTCCTGGGTTGCATACCTCCTCCCATACAGGGGATACAAACTTTCTAGATGGTTGCAGTGACATCTAAGAGCCTCCATGGAAACAGAGCGTTTTCTTGAGCCTTCTGAAGAGGGGACAACTGGGCCACTTACCTCCAGGGTGAAGTGGATTTCACTGAGGTACACTTACCAGGCTCTTCCACCCTCGGACCCTGCGTCACCAAATCTTGCCTGCCCAAACCTTGAATTAACTGAAGCAGGAAACTTGGGGTGCCACCTTCTGTATCCACCCTCTCCATTTTGATAAGGTGCTAAGATGGAATCTGGTGATCTGTCTCTCAGGTATCATTCCTTTCTGCTGAAGAGCTACTGGGGTGAGAGGATTCTATTCAGGTCTGGTTCCTCTTGCCACACTCTTGCCAGCTCCAGGAGGTGAAGAGTAAATTGTAAATTGCTAAAGCTGGCCACAGATGGCTTTCTCGCCAGCCTCAAGTTCCAAGGCATTTCTGACAGTGTTGTAACCCTCATGATTTTCATTTTTATTATTTCTCCTTCTTTCAAGTTTCCATCTCCTCCTTCACCATCCACATTCTTTCCCCATGGTATCTTCCTCACATTCCATCTATCTCCAGCCCCATGTTTTTCTTCATAGTTCTGTCCCTCTTGACTCACCTCCAAACGGGGTGGAGTGACGGAAGATATGTAGGGCATGGGCCTTTCACAAAGCAACAGCTCTACCCTTACCTGCCGCCCACTTTCCATTTTCCCTGCATCACTCACCTGCTCTGTGCTTGCTAGACCAAACAGCCAAACAGGTTGGAGCACCTACGGGATGGGCTCTTCTCCACCCTCCACCCCTGCCCCCAGCTCAGCTTATCCCCAGGTAAGTCAGAGACCCCATCACCTCAGCCTGACTTGTGTCTTCCCAGCTGACATTCGCTGTCACTCCTGCTACAAGGTCCCTGTGCTGGGCTGTGTGGACCGGCAGTCCTGCCGCCTGGAGCCAGGACAGCAATGCCTGACAACACATGCATACCTTGGTAACATCCCCTTCCTTAGTGGGGTGAACAGGGAGGTGGGAGCCTCTATGACCAGGACTGAGGCCCAAATGGGTCTAAGACTGAGATGGAGAAGCAGAGGATTATAGCAATGATAATATTTGGCCAAAGATGGTTGTGTGCCAGGCAACATCCTATGTCTTTGCATGCCTTTTTTTCAATTAATGTTCATGACAACCCTGTGATGTGGGTGCTATTATTATACTGAGAAAACGGCCTCAAAAAGAGACAGTAACACAGCCGGGCATGGTGGCTCATGCCTGTAATCCCAGCACTTTGGGAGGCCAAGGTGGTTGGATCACTTGAGGTCAGGAGTTCAAGACCAGCCTGGCCAACATGGTGAAACCCCATTTCTACTAAATATACAAAAATTAGCCAGGCATGGTAGTGGGCGCCTGTAATCCCAGCTACTCGGGAGGCTGAGGCAGGAGAATCGCTTGAACCTGGGAGGCGGAGGTTGCAGTGAGCTGAGATGGCACCACTGCACTCCAGCCTGGGCGAGAGTGAGACTCTGTCTTGGAAAAAACAAAAAAACAAAAAACAGAGACAGTAACAGGTCCATGGCCAGCAAGTGATAGAACCAGGACTGGGGGAGTGGTGGGTAAGGATGTGCAGAAGGAAGATCAGACTAAGAAAAGAGAAGGGGAGGGCCAGGGACAGAGTTGGGAAGGAAGGAAGCCTAGGTGGGTGGATGGGGTGGGGAGGTGGACACAGGCATGCCAGGTGCCCATCCTGGCCGATTCCCTGCCCATTCCCACCCCTAGGTAAGATGTGGGTTTTCTCCAATCTGCGCTGTGGCACACCAGAAGAGCCCTGTCAGGAGGCCTTCAACCAAACCAACCGTAAGCTGGGTCTGACATATAACACCACCTGCTGCAACAAGGACAACTGCAACAGCGCAGGACCCCGGCCCACTCCAGCCCTGGGCCTTGTCTTCCTTACCTCCTTGGCTGGCCTTGGCCTCTGGCTGCTGCACTGAGACTCATTCCATTGGCTGCCCCTCCTCCCACCTGCCTTGGCCTGAGCCTCTCTCCCTGTGTCTCTGTATCCCCTGGCTTTACAGAATCGTCTCTCCCTAGCTCCCATTTCTTTAATTAAACACTGTTCCGAGTGGTCTCCTCATCCATCCTTCCCACCTCACACCCTTCACTCTCCTTTTTCTGGGTCCCTTCCCACTTCCTTCCAGGACCTCCATTGGCTCCTAGAAGGGCTCCCCACTTTGCTTCCTATACTCTGCTGTCCCCTACTTGAGGAGGGATTGGGATCTGGGCCTGAAATGGGGCTTCTGTGTTGTCCCCAGTGAAGGCTCCCACAAGGACCTGATGACCTCACTGTACAGAGCTGACTCCCCAAATCCAGGCTCCCATATGTACCCCATCCCCCATACTCACCTCTTTCCATTTTGAGTAATAAATGTCTGAGTCTGATAAAATGTACATTTATTATAAGAAGACCTAAGGGTCAGGTCACCTCCCAGGAAATAATACTCTCAATCTCCCTCCCTTACACAGGAATCCTTCAGGGAGGTTCCCTGGGAGGCTGGGCTGGGGAAAATGGAGAAACAGGTTTTTCAGGTCTTCATCCTCCCTTCCAGTGTCTCCAGGTGGCACACAACAACTCATATCCTAAATTTAGGCCACACCCCTGATGTATTGCCAAGAAGAAGGTGCGGCCTGGCTTGAGGGCTCTCCAGAAAGGATAGGAGAGGTACATGGAGATGGGGCCTGAGACCCTGTTTCTTCAGTTTCTCTCAGGTTAGAGTCAAAGGCCTCACCTAGCCTAGTTAGTAAGTAGGGCATCAAGCAGTTTTTACCTATCACAGTTTTTACATTTCTTTTCTCAATTCAAAATAGTCCTATTGGGAGCCAACTTGCAAATGGGAAATAGGGGAGCAAACCCAGACTCATGCTCACAAAACCCTGGCAACCCCACTCAATGAATCTCATTGCTAAGGAAGATTCAACCCAGCAACAGGATCCAGGAGCCACAGAAGGCAGATAAGCCATTGCCCTTTGGGGTTTAGTTGGTTAAGGAGTGCACCACTGTAATTAAGCCCGCTGTTGCTTGGTAACCCCCAAACTAGAACCTGGATGCCCCATATTACGCTTTTAGCCCTCCCATCAACCAAAGATAGATGTAATTTTCCAGTCAGCTGTAGAGTGGTTCATAGATTTTAATGACTCACAGAAGGATGTTTGTCTTCTCACATTAGATGTTCAGATGTCCCTTGTTCCCTTGCTCCCTTGTTCCCTTCTCTACTCCTACTCCCCCTATCCGCTCCACAGTCCTGGCAAGAGACAGGTCAGGGCGGTAGCTGCTGCAGCCAAAATGCCTGCAGGGGCCACATGGCTTGCCACGGCGCTGTTGCACAGGTCTCCCAGGTAGCAGTCCCTGTGGGCTGGATAAGTCACGTCTCCCACCGACTCTGTCTCCACTTGATTGCAATGATGGGCTGCGACGCAGGCTGGATGTTGGTGAATCAAGGTCACTGGGGCTGAGAGAGAGAATGAAACTGGGGTGTTGGACTCCTGGCTTCAGGACTTGCCTTCTGGGGCAGAGCAGATGTGATTTCAAGGAGCCCAAAGGGATTTTCAGCCCCCTCAAAAAACACCTCCCTGAAACCAAGTGATCAAAGTTAATGCATTGACCTTGTAAACTCCTGATGTGATGCAGCAAGAAGGATGCAACATCACTTCTGCAGTATTCTTGCTTAAAATGCATGACCTCAATCTCATCATGGCAAATATCAGATAAATAAATATCGAGGGACATTCTATAAAATAATTTTTAGTATTTCAAGTATCTGTAATTTTTTTTTTTTTTTTGAGACGGAGTTTCACTCTTATTGCCCAGCTGGAGTGCAATGGTGTGATCTCGGCTCACCGCGACCTCCACCTCTTGGGTTCAAGCAATTCTCCTGCCTCAGGTTCCCGAGTAGCTGGTATTACAGGCGGGCACCACTACACCCGGCTAATTTTGTATTTTTAGTAGAGACGAGATTTCTCCACATTGATCAGGCTGGTCTTGAACTCCCGACCTCAGGTTATCCACCCGCCTTGGCCTCCCAAAGTGCTGGGATTACAGGCGTGAGCCACTGCATCCGGCACGTAATTTTTGTTTAATCTAAAAATGATTTTATTTAATTTTAGAGAAAAGATCTTGCTCTCTCACTCAGGCTGGAGTGTGGTGGTGCAATCATACCTCCCTATAGCCTCAAACTCCTGGGCTCAAGTAATCCTCCTGCCTCAGCCTCTCAGGAAACTGAGATTACAGGTGTGTGCCACTATGCCTGGCTAATTTTTTAAAAACATTTTTTGTAGAGATGGGGGTCTCACTTTGCTGCCCAGGCTGGTGTCAAACTCCTGACCTCAGGTGACTCTTCAGCCTTGGCCTCCCAAAGTGCTGGGATTACAAGTGTGTGCCACCAAGCCTAGCCTAAAAATTATTATTATTATTATTTTTGAGACAGGGTCTCATTTTGTTCCCCAGGCTGGAGTGTAGTGGCGTGATCATGGCTCATTGTAGCTTCAATCTCCCAGGCTCAAGCGATCCTCCCTCTTCAGCCCCCTGAGTAGCTAGGACTACAAGCATGTGCCACCACACCCAACTAATTTTTTAATCTGTTTGTTTGTTTGTTTGTTTGTTTTTTGTAGAGACAGGGTCTCCCTATGTTGCCCAGGCTGGTCTCAACTCTTGGGCTCAAGTGGTCCTCCCACCTTGGCCTCCTAAAGTGCTGGGATTACAGGTGCGAGTGACTGCACTGGCCCTAAAAGTAATTTTTTAAACTCCAGGTATAAAATAATTTATCAGGGCTCTTCAAATGTGTCAGGGTCATGAAAGACAAAGAAAAACAGAACTGGCACAGATCAGAGGAGACTAAGAAGACATGAGAGCTAAATGCAATGTAGGATCTTGCTAAATCAAATAAAGTCTGTAGATTAGTTAGTAGTATTGTATCAGTTATTTTGTGATTTTGATAATTGTGCTATGGTTATGTAAGATGTTAGCATTAGGAGAAGTTGAGTATTTCTGCAACTTTTCTGTCAATCCAAAATTATGTTAAAATAAAATATTAAAAACATGTACACACACACACACACACACACACACACACACACCCCTCCCTGGTCCTTAACTAATGCCGAAAATTTGAAGTTTGGTTTTAACTTTGGCCTTTCAGGGCCAGAGCTCTTCATTTGTGAGCTAATGGGCCTATGAGATTCTTTTAGGAGAATAAGGAGGTGGGGAAGTGGGGGCACAAGGACTGTGGGCCTCTCAGGGGCTCCGTGCCAGGAGCCAGAAGGGGTACAGACTGCTCTCCTCTAACAGCTGCACCATCTGCCCAGAGCCAGACTGAGCCTGGAGGGTTCTGGAAGCCAGAAGGATTGACATGGGGCTGGAGGCAGGGAAAGGCTGCTGGAAGAGGGAGAAACTGAGGACTCACGGTTTCCAGGTAGCTTGATCTGTTCCAGGCCTGGCTGGGGTCTGCCCTCGCCACAGGTGGTCACGGCCTCTTTGCAAGAACTGCTGGGGCTTCCACCACAGTTGTAGCACCGCATTCGGTTTCCTGGCAGGAGAAAAGAGGCGCTGGACCTGGGCCCTCGGTGGAGCCGGCTGGCAGAAGGCCTGTGTGAGAAGCTAGCTGGCCGCCTCCTTACCCAAGGCAGCCCCTAGCAGGGAGCTGAGCAAGATCCCAACAAACTGGGGTTTCATCGCAGTCTGCCCGTGTCAGGACCGCCTCTACCTCCTGCCCACCCCCCTCCCCAGCCCGGCTCTGCCTGCCTTATATCCCCCGTGCCTTGAGCTTTATAGGGCTATAAAAAAGGAAGAAAGAGTCTCCCCCAGCAGGCACCAAGGGCCCCAGTGGGGACAGGGAGGGGCCCCACAGCATGCTCTCAGCATCCTCTGGAGTCCTCAAACTCCTTTATCCTCAGCAGCAGTCTGTGGACCAACAAGAACCCCTGAGGATCCCTGATACCCTTTCACAGGGTCCTTGAGGGTCCTCCTTTTGCAACTATCTGTGTAAGGTCAGATTTTCTTCATATACTGGACTTCAACGAAAACAACATATCCCAACAGACTGAATGCAGAAGCAGATAGGAAAACCCAGGCATCTCCCACGAAGCCTGACACTAGATTCACAAAAATGTAAAGCAATGCTCAGCTTCTCACTGTGCTGTGGAGAAATAATAGTTATTTTTCACAAAACTGTATTTTGTTAGCATGTAATACTTTATTATTTTTATTGTTTAAATAAATCAATAAATACCTACTTTAAATTTTCTGTTTTAATTTTTAATGTAGTAAATATTGATATAACCTCATAAAGAAAAGCTCTTCAGAGTCTTAAGTAACTTTGAAAAGTGTAAAGAGGTCCTGAGATCAATATTTTTGAAAAGAGCTGCTCTCCTGGGCACCTGTGTCTCCCCTATCTTCACTCCCTGTTCCTAGTCTTACTCCTCCTGGTACATGCTGGCTCTGATTCCCCAGATGGGCCTTCCTCCTTCCCAGTCTCTTCAACCCCAGCCTTCCAGGCTGTATCACCACCCCCCTACCCCAAATCCCATCCATGCCTTCCTTTCTAGTGATTTCTCCCCAGTGCAAGCACATCAGCAGGCCCTCCAGCCCCACCCGTGGTTATTTCTTTCCTCCAAGGTAGTAAAGCTGGCAGGGATAATTACAGGGTAGGAATGTTGAAGCTTGGGGGGATCAAAGGGATCTGAAGCTGGGTGGGGTCCGCCCTTACACAGCTGGGCTTTGTGTGTGCATGTGGGTGTGTGGGTGGGGGTATTGTTGATTCTACACTCAAACAGATCCACGCCGGGGCTGTTTAGGAGGGTGACTTTGAGAGACATGAAAGCACTGAGGGGGAAAGACAGAGAAAACAAAGACAGAGAGAAGCTGAGAGAGCCAGGGAGCAGCTTGAGACATGGGGAGGGAGGGGGAGGAGTAGGAGGGAAGGCGACAGACACAACTCAGGAGCAGGAGAGGAAGCTAAGTTACAGAGACAACATGCTGAGAGAGCAGAGGAGACCCTCCAGGCAAGGGCAGACTCCTTGCAGGGGCAGGCTGGGGGCCCCCGCTGCCTGCTGGGTCAGGCTGGTGAATCTGGTCATGGTTCCGCCCCCCAGATTCACTCCCTAGGTGTGTTTGTTTACTGGTTCCTCACTGTCTTGCTCAAATGCTCCAACTCTACAAATCCCGGGATCTCGGGGTGCAGATCACCTCTCCCAGATTCCTGAGCCTGTGTCTGGCCATGGGCACCTCCAGCATCTTCCTCTGCGTGCTGTTCCTCTGTGGGGCACTGGGTAAGGGTGGGCTGGGGAACCTTCAGTGGTCAGGGGGCTGGGGGTGGGGACAAGGGCATGTGGAGGAACCTGAGGGCTGGGGAGGAGAGGGGTGTGGGTGCTGGAAGAGGCCAAGAAGAGAGCTGGGGGAGTGGGGGACTTCAGGGAGACCAGCCACTGGGAAGGCCAGCCTGATGAGGTGGGAAAGGAAGAGTTTCCTTTCAAGGCATTTGAGAATAACTGTCTCCCCCTTGCTGCATCTTTGATCCGCCCCTGTCTCCCCTATCCCTTATTTCACGTGTTGCTTCTGTGCTGGGCCCTTTGGTCAATGTCAATTTCTATTTTCCTATCTGTCTCTGGTGCCATTTACTTAACTTTTTCACTGACCCCCTCAACTTTCCTGCTGCTGGGTCTGGCTTTTTGTCTCACTCTTTTTATGTTGGTCTCTGATTCTTGTGGCTTCTGTTCATGTCTGCGCATCTCTCAATCCCTGTACCCCTCTTGCCTCCATCTCTGTTTCTTTTCCTGCATCGTCTCCCTCTTTTTTTTTGAGACAGAGTCTCGTTCTGTCACCCAGGCTGGAGTGCAGTGGCATGATCTCGGCTCACTGCAACCTCAGCCACCCAGATTCAAGAGATTCTCCTGCCTCAGCCTCCCAAGTAGCTGGGACTAGAGGCATGTGCCACCATGCCCGGCTAATTTTTTGTATTTTTAGTAGAGACGGGGTTTCACTGTGTTAGCCAGGATGGTCTCAATCTTCTGACCTCATGATCAGCCCGCCTCGGCCTCCCAACGTGCTGGGATTACAGGCGTGAGCCACTGCGCCCAGCTATTTTTTCTACTTCTGTCAGCTTTCCTCCCTTATTCCACAGCTTTCCTCTCTCTGCTTCATGTGTCACCTCTCTCTGTGATCCCTCTCCGGATCTGGCCTCTGCCTGCCCCACAGGGAGGGTTTGCCTCTCCTGCTCTCCTAATCTCTGCTGCCTCAACAGGTCTCACCATGTCCCCTGCCCGGGGAAGGCTCCGCTGCTACATCTGTGGCTTCACCAAACCCTGCCACCCTGTTCCCACCGAGTGTCGGGACGATGAAGCTTGTGGCATCAGTATTGGCACTTCAGGTAGGACTCTGGTCCAATGGCCCTTCTCCAGGAGGCTCCCTACCTCCATCCATCCGGCCTTTCCTGTGGCCCCCGCCTCAGCATGCCTCTTTCATCCCACAGACCAGAGTGAGATCACTGAGTGAAAAAGCTGCCTCTCAAGGGCCCAGTGCCCTCTGCCAGGCTATGCCACCTACTGGCTGCACTCCTACACTCTGTGGCACCACTGCTGCGAGCAGGACCTGTGCAACATAGCCGCTTCCCCACAGCAGCTCACCAGCCTCCTCGCCTCCCTGCCCCTCTTTGTGGCCAGCTTCGCTGGGAGAGGACACCTCCTCCACTAGCTTCCGTGGATCTGCAGCCCCCAACCCAGGATACCCCCCGCCATCACTGCGGCCCTGGAAACACCTGCACAGACACTTTGAGACATGCCCGAGAACCTAATTTTGTACAGAGACCCCAGATCTCTCAGCAGACCCCTCACAGACCCCTCACAAGGCCTGGGGAGGCACCTGCCCAGAGTCCAACCTCATAAAGAACACCTATTCTGCGTCTTTTGTCTTTTCTAGATGCCCATTGCTGATGCCCCGTGTCAGCCCAGGTCACTGGCAAGGCAGGCATTTTGATGACACTGTGGATCTCAGGCAAGGGGATCAAAGGAGCATCAGGTATGGTAAGGAGGAGAGTCTTGCTAGGAAAGACTAATGTGGTAGGTCGGGAACTCAGGATGGAGGGCTTGGGGGACTATGAAGAGTACCTTTAATAAAAGGTCTATCTAGGAGTCCAGTAATACTGCAGATACTGCAGTGTGTGTGTGTGTGTGTGTGTGTGTGTGTGTGTGTGTGTCTGTGTGTGTGTGCTCTAAGAGCAAACTGTAGCTGCTTGGTGGGTTGGGCTGGAGCTGGAACCTGGACCACGGCACTCCCCTCATTCTCCATCTGTGTCATTTTCGTCCTTTTTCTTGCCAATGGCTTAGTTTAAGCCCCTGCAGCCTGAAGGCTTTAGGTGAGACTTCTGAGAAAGCTTTTTTCCAGTAAGGCCCAAGCTTGAGCAGAGACACAAAAGGGCACCCAGTGGAGCTGCTTGTGAGGGTGTGGCTGGAGCTCAGCTCATTTCTGCCTGAGACTAGGGAATGGCCAAGTTGGGAGCATCAATACCCTCCCTCGCTTCACCAGCCCAGACTCGCCCATGGTTCACAGACATCCCAGCATGGCCCCGGCCCAATAAATAACATACCCCCACTGGGCCTGCCAGCCTGAGTAGACACTCCCTCTGCCCCCGAGAAATAGGGTGTGACCTCAGGGCAGCAGGAAGGAAGTGCCAGAGTGGCGATAGCTGCTCACATGCTCTGAATGCCCCGGTAAGGCGCCACAGGGAAGAGTGTGTGCCTAGGATAAGGAAGGATAAGGAGGGGGCCCCGGGTGGGAGCTGAGCACAGGCATCTCTATCCTGACTCAGTTCCCTCCCCTTGCATGTGAGGAAGTCTGGGGTTGATTAAATATGCCTGTTCCCTCTCTTCTTTGTGAGGATGAGACATGGGGTAGTGGGGGTCTGGCTTAATTTAGAGATGGGTTGAGGCTTTCCATTTTCTCTGTCCCTCCATCCTCCCACTTTGTGCTTCTATTTTTCTCCCTCTGTCCATCTCTTTCCACTTTCTCTGACTTGAGTCTCTTCCCTTCTCTCTCTTCCCCCGTTTTCCCCATTTGTCCTTCAGCTCCACTGCAATGGATTCCCCACCATTGCTCAAGTCTCCAGATTCCTGTCTCCTCCCTGTGCACACCCATCCTCCTTGCCCCCACCAGCAACCTCAGGCTCCCCTCAACCCCACAGTACTATGGGCTCAGGGCCATCCCTCCACTGCTGCTACAAGACAGGAGACCAAACCTTTTTGTAGGTTACATCACAGAATAATGCTCCTCCTTTCCTTCAGTCCCCCACCCCTCCCCATACACAGCTTGGTGGCTGCTGGAGGCCAGCTGGATGGTGAAGTCGAACTCTCAGTCCCGCCCCCCTTGCTAAGGTTGTCGAGGAATCTTCCAGGTGCCAGATGGCCAGCGAGACAGCAGGTCACACTTCCCAGCAGATGTCACCAAAATCACCTGGGCTTGTGGGCAGGTGGGCTGTGGGGTTTTCCAGAGAGACAGATTAAGGATACCTCTACTTTTCACATCCTCAGGAACGAGGGCCCATCCCCAACCCAACCCGTGTTTCCTCTCCATCCCCAGTCCCCTCCAGGATTTAAGCCTCTGTTCCCTAGCTGTTCCTCACCCAAGACGGGCCAAATGGATGTTCTCATAGACCTGGATTTCGGGTTTGAACTGAGGAATCGAGGCATCTGGGGAGAAGGAGCCATCAGGGATACAGAAGAGAAGTCAGCAGACAACTTAGAGCCGTGTTCCTCGCCCCCTCCCCTAGAGGAGGTGGGGTACAGAGGCAGGGTGTGAGCCTAGCCCTTTGCCTCCCACCCATGTGCCCTCTTCTTTCCCCGGGGAGGGAGGGACTCACCTCTGCCTGGAGCCCCACGGACCCTCTGCCTCCAGAGCACGATGCTGAGGGCCAGGATGACAACTCCCTGGCCCATTGTGAGCAGCAGCATCAGAATCCAAGGCATGTCCCAGCCCGTGGAAGGGGCACAGAGGGCAGGAGAAGCATCGATGGAGGCTGTAGTAAGGGCCAGACCAGAGGGATGGGAGGGAGGTAGTGAGGGGCCCTGTCCCTGTGCCCCAAAGAGAGGCTTCCCCTCCACAGTCTGGTGGGCTCTTCCAACAGAAGACTTTGTAAGCTTCCCTGCCCACAATATCCTCCACCCTACTCTGCCCCTTTCCAGGCCTCTCACCCTGACCCATAGAGAATGGCGGCCAGGCACAGTGGCTCATGCCTGTAATTCCAGCACATTAGGAGGCCAAGGCGAGCAGACCACTTGAGGTCAGGAGTTCAAGACCAGCCTGGTCAACATGATGAAACCTCATCTCTACTGAAAGTATAAAAATTGAGGCCAGGCGCAGTGGTTCACACCTGTAATCCCAGCACTTTGGGAGGCCGAGGTGGGTGGATCACCTGAGGTCAGGAGGTCGAGACCAGCCTGACCAACATGGTGAAACCCCATCTCTACTAAAAACACAAAAAAGAGGCCGGGCGCTGTGGCTCACACCTGTAATCCCAGCACTTTGGGAGACCAAGGCGGGCAGATCACGAGGTCAGGAGATTGAGACTATCCTGGCCAACATGGTGAAACCCCGGCTCCACTAAAAATACAAAAATTAGCTGGACGTGGTGGCATATGCCTGTAATCCTAGCTACTCGAGAGGCTGAGGCAGGAGAATCACTTGAACCAGGGAGTCAGAGGTTGCAGTGAGCCGGGATTGCGCCACTGCACTCCAGCCTGGCGACAGAGAGAGACTCTGTCTCAAAAAAAAAACAAAAAAAAACACACACACACACACAAAAGTTAGCCAGGCGTGGTGGCAGGCACCTGTAGTCCAGCTACTCAGGAGGCTGAGATGGGAGAATAGCTTGAACCCAAGAGGCAGAGGTTGCAGTGAGCCAAGATCGTGCCACTGCATTCCAGCCTGGCCAACAGAACAAGTCTCCATCCCAAAAAAAAAAAAAAAAAAAAAAAAAAAGGCCAGGCGTGGTGGCTCACACCTATAATCCTAACACTTTGGGAGACTGAGGCAGGCAGATCATGAGGTCAAGAGATCAAGGCCATCCTGGCCAACATGGTGAAACCCCGTCTCTACTAAAAATACAATTTTTTTTTTGAGATAGAGCTTCGCTCTTGTTGCCCAGGCTGGAGTGCAATGGCGTGATCTTGGCTCACTGCGCCCTCCACCTCCCAGGTTCAAGTGATTCTCCTGCCTCAGCCTCCCGAGTAGCTGGGGTTAGAGGCATGTGCCACCATACCCGGCTAATTTTGTATTTTTAGTAGAGACAGAATTTCTCCATGTTAGTCAGGCTGGTCTTGAACTCCCAACCTCAAGTGATCCGCCTGCTTCGGCCTCCCAAAGTGCTGGGATTACAGGATTGAGCTACCATGCCTGGCCTAATAATAATAAAATAAAATAAAATAAAATAAAAAGTAGAGAATGGCAATGCCCCCTGCTCACGCATGGGCAACCAACTACAGAGCAGACCACCAGCCATAACCACACTTTCCCCTCACACCCTTTATAGTAATTCACCCTTTCTTTCAAGAAAAAATAGCCAGATGTGATGGCTCATGCCTGTAACCCCAGCACTTTGGGAGACCAAGATAGGAGGATCATTTGAGGCCAGTAGTTTGAGACCAGACTGGGCAACATAGCAAGATCCTGTCTCTACAAAAAATTTAAAGGTGCGGTGGCTCATGCCTATAATCCCAGCACTTTGGGAGACTGAGGCAGGCAGATCACTAGAAGTCAGGAGGTTGATACCAGCCTGGCCAAAATGGTGAAATCTCGTCTCTACTAAAAGTACAAAAAATTATCCAGGCATGGTGGCAGGCGCCTGTAATTCCAGCTACTTGGGAGGCTGAAGTGAAAGAACATCCCTTTCCGTCTCCTTCCTCAGTTTACCTGCCAGGCTAAAGCTGACCCCTTTGTTGTGAGTCATGAGGCAGCGGATGATTCTTGGTCTTCGGCTCCTGGGCTCAGAAAGCCCCTCCCCAGGACACACCAAGAGCAGGGCAGCCTCACTGCCCCAGAAGGACTGAACACGGCCCCTCACGGGACCCTTCCCTTCCTGCCAGGTCACAGAGTCCATGCGTCTGCTGGGGACCACAGAGCACAGGAGGACATTGCAGGGGGATCCATCTGCAGCCCTTGCAGATAACTGGGATCCTGTAGGGGAGAGAGGGATTCCTCAGTTCTTCACCTGGACTTCCTGGGCCACAGTAGCCCCTGGTCTGCATGCCCCCACTCACCTTTGAGCACCAAGACGTCGTACACCCTCCAGTTCTGGTAGTTGTGGTGCTGACCTAGCACAGTGCACCAGTACCGCCCGGCATCTTCCTCTTTGGATCCCTCCAACCACAAAGAATAGTTCCCCAGCAGTCTGAGCCTGGATTCCCTTCCTGGTTTTCCAGGGTCTGGGGCTGGCCTGCCCACTTGGACTTGGGCTACCAGGGTGGTGAAGGAGCCTGCTGCAGGGCTGCAGAACCATGACAGGTGTTCGTCCCCATGTAGAGTAGGTGGTGAGGGACATGGCAGCTCTACTGCCTCCCCCAAGGCCACATAGATGGCCTGCATGTTGTCTGTGGGAAGAGGGTTGTATGAGGCCAGAGACCTCCATCAGATCAATAACCCCCCATTTGATCTTCAACCCTGGCTTCCTTCCCTTCTGGGGTCCCCCAGCACAGGCCTGGCTGGTGACCACATTTCTCAAGTGACAGCTACAAAAATAAGACAGGTGGAGAGAAGAGGGTAAGGGCTTTCCTCCTCTCTCCCCCAGCCAGTGAGGGGGTCTGAGGGCAAGAGGGAAAAGGCTGAAAGTTGGCAAATGCCCACATCTCTTCTACTCATTTCTACTTTTCTGGAAGCATTTACTCATTCTTCTTATTTTATAAAGGAAACTGCATAACCTGGACCCTCGTTGCCTCTGGGTCTTCCCTAGTGTCAGAGGCAGGAGGAGGTTGGTTGGGGTAATTCTATCTTCTTGAGTCAGATGCCTTCGCCAGGCTCCTAGGAGAAAGAGCAGTAGTCCCTCCCCAACCTTGCAAATAGCTAAGGAATCCCGTACCTCTTGCCCCTTACCTGCAGCCTGGGGAGTTCCACATAGGAACAGGAGGAGGAATAAGACTGCCATGGGGAGAGCCTGCCAAGTTCTCTTGCTCCAAGACCTGGTGTCCCCAGGGAGGAAGCAGAGTCCAGATAAAGGCCCACACTCGCTGGTCTGGAGTGACAAGGGGCTCTGGAGGGGATGGGAATGCTGGGGCGATAAAGCCCAGCAGCATGTCTACTAGGGATAAAGTGACCACCACTTTTCTATCCTGGAGAGAAAAGGACCCAGCCCAGGCCACTCTGAAGATGACCTTTTTGCTCTTCTGATTCCACATCAGCTAAGGGGCTCAAATAAAGACTTTCCATGCAAAAAACCATGCAGAGAAGTGGTCCTGCCTGTCTAGCTCTTGTCAGTCTGGAAGTACATTCTGAGGTCTCTTTCACTCCTAAGAAAGGTCAGCCATGAGTTGGGTGGATCACTTGAGGTCAGGAGTTCGAGACCAGCGTGGCCAACATGGCGAAACCCTGTCTCTACAAAAAATACAAAAATTAGCCAGGCGTGGTGACATGTGCCTGTAATCCCAGCTACTTAGGAAGCTGAGAGGCACCAGAATCGCTTGAACCCGGGAGGTGGAGGTTGCAGTGAGCCGAGATCGTGCTACTGCACTCCAGCCTGGGAGACAGAGCGAGACTTCATCTCAAAAAAAAAAAAAAAAAAAAAAAAGAAAAAGAAAAGAAATGTCAGCTATGAGTGAAGAAACTGAGTTTGAGTTTTTATGTTGGTCCTCCACAGAACCCAGCACAAGACTGTGTATCGAGTCAGTGTCCCGTAAATGATTTGGAATGACTTTCCCTGTGGTTGTCTGGCATACCCCGGACCTCTCCTGAAACCCTAATAAGTGTATTAAATTATTACTCAGGGACAAGGCTAACGGGCTGATTCATCCTTCTGAACGGCAAAAACTCCTAAGGCAGATCTTCATGCAGTTATTACAGTTTTAATGTGTAATTTATTTATTTTTAAAATTATTTTGATGAAATATTCCATACATACCAAAAACTATATGAAGTACAACTATATAATGGATAAATGCTTAACAGAGTAGAAGACTGGACAGCAATGAGAATGAACAAACCTAGTGATTTGCAACAAAGTTGAATCTCACAATATAATGAGAGTAAAAGAAGCCTGGCCAGGCATGGTGGCTCATGTCTACAATCCTAACACTTTTGGAGGCCAAGGTGGGAGGGTTGATTGAAGCCAGAAGTTTGAGGTTGGGCAACAGAGCAAGACCCCAACTCTGAAAATAAAGGCCAGATGCCGTGGCTCACGCCTGTAATCCCAGCACTTTGGGAGGCTGAGGCAGGCGGATCACGAGGTCAAGAGATCGAGACTATCCTGGCCAACATGGTGAAACCCTGTCTCTACTAAAAATACAAAAATTAGCTGAGTGTGGTGGTGGATGCCTGTAGTCCCAGCTACTCAGGAGGCTGAGGCAGGAGAATCGCTTGAACTCAGGAGGCAGAGGCTGCGGTGAGCAGAGATCATGCCACTATACTCCAGCCTGGTGACAGAGCGAGACTCCGTCTCAAAAAAATAAATAAATAATAAATAAATAAATAAATAAATAGAATATTCCAGGCCGGACTCGGTTGCTCATGCCTGTAATCCCACCACTTTGGGAGGATGAGACAGGCGGATCACCTGAGGTCAGGAGTTCAAGACCAGCCTGACCAACATGGAGAAACCCCATCTCTACTAAAAATAAAAAAATTAGCAGGGCATGGTGGTACATGCCTGTAATCTCAGCTACTTGGGAGGCTGAGGCAGGAGAATCGCTTGAACCCCAGAGGCAGAGGTTGTGGTGAGCCGAGATCGGGCCATTGCACTCCAGCCTGGGCAATAAGAGCGAAACTCGGTCTCGAAAAAAAAAAAAGAAAAAGAAATAGAATATTCCAGGCCAGGCACAGTGGCTCATGCCTGTAATCCCAGCACTCTGTGAGGCCAAAGCAGGAGGTTCACTTGAGCCCAGGAGTTCGAGACCAGCCTGGGCAACATGGTGAGACCTTGTAAAATTAGCCGAGTATGGTGGTGTGGGCCTATAGTCCCAGCTACTCAGGAGGTTGAGGCAGAAAGATGGTTGAGCCCAGCAGGTGGAGGATCAGGGCAGTGAGCCGTGATTGTGCCACTGTGCTCCAGCCTGGGTGAAAGAGCTAGACCCTGTCTCAAAAAAAAAAAAAAAAAAAAAAACAGAAAAAAAGAATATTCCGTTTCAGTCAGAGATCCTCTATGCTGTGTAACCACAATTCTGAATTTTCTCTTTCTTCTCCACTTGCTTTATCATTAAATTTTATGTGTTTTTGAATCTAATATACTAGTATCACGTATACATTCTTCTGTGGCTTTCTATTTTCACTCAGCATCATGGTTTTAAGATCCAGTTCATGCATAACAGTAATGATTCATTTATTTTCTTTTTACAAATATTCCGCATATCTTACTGTGCTGAATTTTCGTATCCAGGACCATGGTGTAGCTTTCCATTTATTGAAAAGCTTTTCGTTTACCTCTTTCTTTTTTTATTTTTTCAATTATTATTGTTATTATTTTGAGGCAGGGTCTGGCTCTGTCACCCAGGCTGGAGTGCATGGAGCGATCTCAAACTCCCGGGCTCAAGCGACCCTCCCACCTTGGCCTCCCAAGTAGCTGGGACTACAGGTGGGCACCACCACACCCTGCTAGGTCTTTTTTTTTTCCCCCTTGGTATTTTGTGTAGAGATGGGGTCTCACTATGTTGCCTGGGCTGGCTTGGAACTCCAGGGCGCAAGCAATCCTCTCTCAGCCACCCCAAGTGTTGGAATTACAGGCATGAGTCATGGCCTGGAACTCCTGGACGCAAGCAATCATCCCTCGGCCACCCAAAGTGTTGGAATTACAGGCGTGAGCCACCGCGCTGGGCCAGTTTACCTTTATTTATTTATTTAGAGACAGAGTCTTGCTCTGTCACCAAGGCTGAAGTGCAGTGGGAAGATCTCGGCTCACTGCAACCTCTGCCTCCCGCGTTCAAGCGATTCTCGCGTCTCGGCCTCCCGAGTAGCTGGGATTACAGGCGCGCACCACCCATGCCAGGCTAATTTTTGTATTTTTAGTAGAGATGGGGTTTCACCATGTTGGCCAGGCTGGTCTCGAACTCCTGGCCTCAAGTGATCCCCCCGCCTCGGCCTCCCAAAGTGCTAGGACTACAGGCGTGAGCCACTGCGCCGGGCCGGGCCAGTTTGCCTTTTCAATAACTTTTTATAGTTTTCTTCATAAAACCTTGCATTTCTTGTACTAGATACATTCCTAGACACCTTATGTTTTCGGTTACTCTTATCAAGTACTCCTAATCTCACCCCTCGTTTCCGCTGTCGCTCTAGAGTCTGCCAATAATGAGACAGAAAAAAATTATTGAACCATGCCCGGTAATTTTCTGATTCTCCGCGTTCTAGTGGTCTTCCACTAGTTTCGGACCACTGCTGTACCCGTAGCTCCAACTGCGCGAAACTCTTCTCAGGAAGCACTGAAAATGTCGCAACTCGCCCGGAGGCGGAGCCGGTACGGGCTGACGTCAAGGGCACACAACACCTCAGAGGCAGGGAGGGCGGGGCCGGCAGGGGGACCTGCTGCTGGAAGAGCAGCGGCCCGAGCCGGGGCCATGGCGAAGCTGCTGAGCTGCGTCCTAGGCCCCCGGCTCTACAAAATCTACCGGGAGAGGGACTCTGAAAGGGCCCCGGCCAGCGTCCCTGAGACGCCAACGGCAGTCACTGCCCCCCATTCCAGCTCCTGGGTGAGTCGAGTTCCTCCCCACCGAAGAACGTGGTACAGTCCAAACCCTTTACGGCCTTTTGCTCCCCAGAAGTGCCCATAATGGGAAATAAGGGGAGCCTGCTTGTCAAGCCAGTTATCCGCAAAATCTGCGCTCTGTGTGCTTCCTGAGTTAAAGTCACGCCTACGGACTGGCCGCCTCCTTTCTTTTTCGCTCTTTACCGCTTTCTCATTCCGACTGCCACTCTTTGTTCTTTCCTCTCCGCGTCCCCCCGACCCTGTGTGTCGTGGTTCGTGCCGGTCCCAGTTGAGTCTTGAGTCCCGGGAAGAGACCCTGCGCGGACTGGGGAGCCGTTGAATTTTGCTGTCAGACTCCCAGTTTCCTCTTCTTCAGTGCCTCTTCATGCCTCCCCCGGCTCTGTTTTTATCTTCCCTTTACCCTCGCCTTGAATTTCAGAATGACTTTTACAGATCCTGTATCCGTCGGTCCTCCCCTCAACCCCCGCCCAACCTAGCCTGGAGACCCGAGTCATTGTATTCTGGAGAGCTGGCGGGTGGTGGTAGGCTGTTCTAAATATTCTCTTCCTTTTTATCAGTTGTCTCATTGTGTTACTGTCTCCTACAAACTGCCCGCTCCTACCCACATTCTCTTCTTAGTCAACTACTCTTATTTCTGATGCTTTTCTTTCCTTCTTAGATTGTCTAGGTGTCTTTTCTTTCTTCTCAAACTAACCCTTCTCCCCACATGCACGCGCCTGCAATCCATTTGAAACTAGGCTGTGGAAAAGGAGCAAAAATCGTCCAATGCTGCTTTCACTTTTGCTTCCAAATCCAGCTCCCTGTGTTTGTTCCCATGGTCAGGGGTGGGAAATTAGGTTCAGAGTGAGGGTGAGGAAGAGGAGTTTCTGTGGGGGCCAGGGATGTTTCAAGAGAGATAGTCAACGAGACTAGAACCAGAGGACACACAGCAGGGCTTCTGAAAGGGAAGGGAAAGGACCTGCCAGTGGGCAGGGTCCTTAAGGAGGCCATCTGTTTTGGCAGGATACGTACTATCAGCCCCGTGCCCTGGAGAAACATGCTGACAGCATCCTGGCACTGGTATGTCTACCCTGGCATCTGGGACTCTGCATCTTTCAGACCCACCTGTCCTCTTGAACTTAGCCCTCCCTAACTTGGGAGCAACAGTGCCCTGGGGTTGGGGGATGCCCTGGGCTCTGCAGCAGACCTCTCCAACACAGACACACAGGCACACTCTAAATGTGCATACTTGGCACTCCCCTTTGGTATGTAGCACTGCTTTCTCTGGGGGCAACCTGAGCCGTAAGGAAAACATGTTTACTCTTGGGACCATCTGCAGGTGCTAAGTCCTGCAGTTCCCCAGTGACCTGTCCTCCCTGGCAACTAACCTCTTTGGCTGCAGGGACAGCTGTTCTTTCTGGCACAGTTCCTGTGGTGACGTTTGCGCATCTCTTGGGGACCAGGCCAGGGGCTGTCCTGAGCAGGGCCAATTGAAAAGGCTTGATTAACTTGAGTAGACAGAGAGACTGCCTTTAAATGTGATGGAATTATGTCTGGAGATGGAAGACATAATTCTTCCATAATTCCAGAGGAAGAAAATAGAGCCTGTACCAAATTTTCCCAGCCTCCATTACATTGACACACTACTTTTCAACAAATACTGAGCACCTACTGTATTCATGGTGTCATACACCAAATATGATATGATATCCCTCAGGTTGTCCATCTTGCTCAGAGTGTATAGTATATGCCTGGAATGGCAGGTGTGTGTGTGTGTGTATTGATTGCCTGTCCCTGTCTCTCTGCTGCAGGCTTCAGTATTCTGGTCCATCTCTTATTACTCCTCTCCCTTCGCCTTCTTCTACTTGTACAGGAAAGGTCAGTGTGGTTTCAAAGGTGGTGGGGTAGCAAATGGGCAGGTTGTTGGCAGATGAGCCAGCTCCCTAAAGAGGAGAGGGGACCTGTGAAGATGGCTTGGCTTCCCTCTTCCATCAGGCATCTTCTTCCTCTTAGGGTATGGCTGTTCCAAACAGGGAGTGTGGGGTGGAGGTTGGGGCTGAACTGGGAAGAGGAGCTGAGGGACATTGCGGAGAGGGTCTCACATTGTCCCTCTCCCTTCCCAGGTTACTTGAGTTTGTCCAAAGTGGTGCCGTTTTCTCACTATGCTGGGACATTGCTGCTACTTCTGGCAGGTGTGGCCTGCCTCCGAGGTAGGTGGAGAGGAAACCTGGTTTGAATCTTATCTGTCACTGTCACTGGTTAAAAATTAAGTACCTTGTGCAAATACATTTTAGTGATGGGCCTCCGAGAGGGAATCATTGAGAATGGTTTAAGGCATGATCTTTTCCTTAAAAGACTTGGGTTATAAATATAAAAAATTACTGAAAAGTAACAAAAAGGTTTGCTTTTTTTTTTTTAAGAGATAGGGTCTCACCATGTTGTCCAGGCTGGTCTCAAACTCCTGAACTCAAAGTGATCCTCCCACCTCAGCCTCCCGAAGTACTGGGATTATAGATGTGAGCCACTATGCCTGGCTGCTTTTATCTAGAAAAGATGCATATACCCTACAACAATTCTATATATGTATACATACTAGGAAAACTCCTGCACATGTATAAACAATATAGATGTACAAGAATACAGCATACAACATTGTTTGTAATAATCCTAAGCTGGAAACAACTCCAGTGGCTACAAATAGTAGGATGGATAAAATATGTTCTGTGTGGCCGGGTGTGGTGGCTCATGCCTGTAATCCCAGCACTTTGGGAGGCAGAGGCCAGTGGATCACGAGGTCAGGAATTTGAGACCAGCCTGACCAACATGGTAAAACCCCGTCTCTACCAAAAATACAAAAATTAGCTGGGCATGGTGGCACATGCCTGTAATCCCAGCTACTTAGGAGGCTGAGGCAGGAGAATAGCTTGAACCTGGGAGGCAAAGGTTGCAGTGAGACGAGATTGCGCTACTGCACTCCATCCTGGGCAACAGAGCAAGACTCCGTCTCAAAAAAAAAAAAAAGTTCCATGCAATAGCCATGCAAGAGAACACTATATAGCAATGCAAATGAACAAACTGTAGCTACGCTCAACAACGCAGATGAAGCCAGGTGCAGTGGCTCATGCCTGTAATCCTAGCAGTTTGGTAGGCTGAAGCAGGCAGATCACCAGAGGTCAGGAGTTCAAGACCAGTCTGTCCAACATGGTGAAACCCCGTCTCTACTAAACATACAAAAAAAAATTAGCCAGGTATGGTGGTGAGCACCTGTAATCCCAGCTATTCGGGAGGCTGAGGCAGTAGAATTGCTTGAATCCAAGAGGCAGAGGTTGCAGTGAGCCAAGATTGCGCTACTGTACTGCATCCTGGGCAACAGAGCAAGGCTCCATCTCAGAAAAAATAAAATACAAAAAATTAACTGGGCATGGTGGCACATGCCTATAGTCTTAACTGCTTGGGAGGCTAAGGCATGAGAACTGCTTGAACCTGGGAGGCAGAGGTTGCAGTGAGCCAAGATAGCACCACTGCACTCCAGTCTGGGTGACAGAGCGAGACTCTGTCTCCAGATAAACAAAAGCAATGCAGATGAATTTCTCAAATGTTGTGTTAAATAGAAGAAGCTAACCACAAAATAATGTATGCAGTATGTTTTCATTTATATAAAATTCAAAAGGGATGTGCATGTTTGAGGTAGAACACCGAAGACAACAAGGGCATGGTTTTCTTTTTTTTTTTTTTTTTTTTTTGAGACGGAGTCTCGCTCTGTCCCCCAGGCTGGAGTGCAGTGGCGCGATCTCGGCTCACTGCAAGCTCCGCCTCCCGGGTTCACGCCATTCTCCTGCTTCAGCCTCCCGAGTAGCTGGGACTACAGGCGCCCACCACCACACCCGGCTAGGTTTTTTTTTATTTTTTAGTAGAGATGGGGTTTCACCGTGTTAGCCAGGATGGTCTCAATCTCCTGACCTCGTGATCCACCCGCCTCGGCCTCCCAAAGTGCTGAGATTACAGGCTTGAGCCACCGCGCCCAGCAAGGGCATGCTTTTCTCAAAAGTTAGGAGAGTGATTACCTGGGGTGGGGGAGAACAGAGTGGGGGAGAGCCCTGCTGAGAGGTGGCTGTGTTCTCTTTGTTGACCTAGGTGATAGTCACATGAATGTTTGCTTTGTATTTTTTAAACTGAATATATGTTTTATGTACATATGTTGTATCTCGCAATTTAAAAAAATAAAGAGGACAGATCACCTACCCCTAGTGGGTACATAAGATGACAACCAGGTGATGGGCGATGCTTCAACATGGGGGTGGTGGGGTCAGGGCTGGATGGTCACAGTTGGGTCCAGGACCTTCTGCCTGAGGTGTTCTGCCCCCTGATCTCTGCAGGGCTGGGCTCTCTCCTCAGAGAGGCCTTCCCTGACCACCCTGTCTAAAAGTAGCTCCCACTGCTCAGTTTTGTCTTAGTTTTTTATTTTATTTATTTTTAATTTAGAAAAAATACAGAAAAAATTAGCTGTGCATGGTGGCGGGCGCTTGTAATCCCAGCTATTTGGGAGGCTGTGGCAGGAGAATCACTTGAACCCGGGAGGCGGAGGTTGCAGTGAGCCGAGAGCACATCATTGCACTCCCGCCTGGGCAACAAGAGCAAAACTCTGTCTCAAAAAAAAGAAAAAAGAAAAAATACAGAAAAGTCCAGAGAACAAAATATAAAAGCCTTTTTAAATTTTTTGATGTATAGTTTTGTGATTTTTTTTTTATATATAGTTTTGTGATATTTGCTTTAAATGCTTTCTGTCAACAAAATACTAAAGCACCACAGTTAGGGTTGGAGTTCCCATTGGAATCCTTTCAGTCCCATCTTCCTCTTTCCTCAGAAGTAATAATTGTCATTTGGTGTGGGTTTTTTTTTTTTTCTGGCACATACTTTTATGAAACATATACCTCAGTTCCTCAAGTCTAAGCTGCCATCAATTGTAAAATGAATTCTAATTTCAGAGTTTTCAAGGGTTAAAAAATATACATTTTAGAATCTATGAAATATGGTATCTATAAGCAGTATGTATTATTTTGCACATTTTACATTTTTGGCATAAATGTTGTACAAATCATTCTGCAGCACACATCATTCTCTCATCATATCGTTTTGGGGGAATACCATTGATGACACATAAAGTTCTGGTTCATTCTTGTTGTATTTTCTCTGTAGCACTTATCCCTCTCTGAAATGTTGTTTATTGTCTTCTCCTGGCTGTACCTAACCCCAACCAGAATGCCAGCTCTCTGAGAGCCAGGAGCTGTGTATCTCATTTCCTGCTGAGTCTCCCGTGTGTAGTACGGTGCCTGTCTGACACACGACACCTGCCAAGTCAGTGAGGAGAGAAGTTAGGGTTTGAGGTGGCTCAGCAGTGAAAGGAGAGTGGATGCAATCACTGACTGTGTAAGTGAAAAGAGAGAGGAGAGAGAGTCAGCACTGAGAGTTGCTTCTGCTTCAGAAAGGAAAGCAGAAAGGAGGCAGGAGAGGAACTGTTCAGGAACTGGAAGGAGTCAAGGATGGGCCCAGGAAGCAGAGGCAGGAAGAATCTTGAGGGACAGGGAGAATGCTGAGTAGTACAGTTGAAGAGAATGAGGATAGAAGAGTCAGGAATTCAGTGAGGAAGTAATTATGGGCAGGAGTCGGAGACTCTGAAGCCAGATGGCAAGGGGCTAGAATATACAGAAAAGAGGCAGAAAGCAAACATTGGAGAAGAGTGGCAGTGAAAAATAGAGAAATTTGATATTCGCAAGGGAGAATAGTATTATATGATAGTGTTTAATAGTGTCATTTAATAGGTTATATGACAGTGTTTAAAGACTGAGGAAGAGGAACATTCTGGAAGATGGTAGGTTAAGGATTGTCTATAAAGACACAAACTGCAGAAGCTAGGGAGAAGAAGCGTCCTGTAGCCAGTTGCTGGATTTGGAGGAAGGGGGTTGGCTCACATCTATTTCTCCGCATCCTATGCCCTCAGTTCCTTTTTCTTTCACTTTTTCTTACAGGGCCTTCTTCTAGCCCATCTCCAATTCTTTTCCTAAAACCTAGGCTTTCTGCTTCCCAGTTTTCCTAGCACTGTTTCCTGTCCTTTTTCTACCAGGCATTGGCCGCTGGACCAACCCCCAGTACCGGCAGTTCATCACCATCTTGGAAGCAACACATCGGAACCAGTCTTCAGAAAACAAGGTGAGAGGCCCTAGGAAAAGTGCCACACAGGCACCCAATAGCAGCTTTCTCAGTTGTCCCTCAGAGCACCAGACACTGGCTTCTGCAGGAAGAGGAGGTGTGTTTTACCACCCACCACACTGGGTGTTTGCTTGCACATTGCTGTATCCCTTCTCACCTCCATTAGTGAACTGTCCACCTGAGGAATTTTTCCTCCCTACCACTTCTAATGGAATATTCTGCTAGAACAATCTTCCCCCTCCCTCACCTGTAAGAACTGGCTAAACTAGAAACATTCCACAATGTTTCTTTTTTCTTTTTCTTTTTTTTTTTTTGAGATGGAGTTTCGCTCTTGTTGCCCAGGCTGGAGTGCAATGGCACGATCTCGGCTCACTGCACTCTCCACCTCCCAGGTTCAAGTGATTCTCCTGTCTCAGCTTCCTGAGTAGCTAGGATTACAGGCACGCACCACCCACACCCTCTAATTTTTGTATTTTTTGTAGAGACGGGGTTTCACCATGTTGGCCAGGCTGGTCTCCAACTCATGACCTCAGGCGATCTGCCTGCCCCAGCCTCCCAAAGTGCTGGGATTACAGGCGTGAGCCACCACTCCTGGCCTCTTTTTTTTTTTTTCTTCTTTGAGACAGAGTCTCACTCTTACTCAGGCTGGAGTATAGTGGTACAATCTCAGTTTACTACAACCTCCAACTCCCGGGTTCAAACAATGCTCATGCCTCAGCCTCCTGAGTAGCTGGAATTACAGGTGCACACCACCACGCCCAGTTAATTTTTTTTTTTTTTTTTTGAGACGGAGTCTCACTCTGTCGCCCAGGCTGGAGTGCAGTGGCGCCATCTCAGCTTACTGCAAGCTCGGCCTCCCGGGTTCATGCCATTGTCCTGCCTCAGCCCCCTGAGTAGCTGGGACTACAGGCGCCTGCCACCACGCCCGGCTAATTTTTTTATTTTTAGTAGAGACGGGGTTTCACCATGTTAGCCAGGATGGTCTTGATCTCCTGACCTTGTGATCCGCCTGCCTCGGCCTCCCAAAGTGCTGGGATTACAGGCGTGAGCCACCGTGCCTGGCCAATTTTTGTATTTTTAGCAGAGACAGGGTTTCATCATGTTGGCCAGGCTAGTCTTGAACTCCTGACTGCAGACGATCTGCCTGCCTTGGCCTTCCAAAGTGCTGGGATTATAGGTGTGAGCCACTGTGCCTGGCCCACAGTGTTTCTTTTTTTTTCTTTTGAGATGGAGTTTCGCTCTTGTTGCCCAGGCTGGCGTGCAATGGCATGATTCCAGCTCACTGCAACCTCCGCCTCCTGGGTTCAAGCGATTCTCCTGCCTCAGCCTCCCAAGTAGCTGGGATTACAGGCATGCGCCACCACGCCCAGCTAATATTGTATTTTTAGTAGAGATGGGGTTTAGCTGTGTTGGTCAGGCTGGTCTCAAACTCCTGACCTCAGGTGATCCACCTGCCTTGGCCTCCCAAAGTGCTGGGATTACAGGTGTGAGCCACTGCACCCAGCCCACAATGTTTCTTAGAAGGTAGTTTTCTCTGTATCACAGCAGCTCAGTTCTATAAATGTTTAATTTTGTTGTATGCATTGAATACCATGCTATCCTTGTTTGTGGATGGGACAAGGTGGACAGGTGTGTCCACTCCTATGCCTGGGAGTACAGCATGGTGCCAGGAGGGAGAAAAGCTAGGGCTCAGTGTCTTGGGAATTATGCCAAGCCGGCTGGTGCTGGACTGTGATTATCTTTGAGGATGGGCTTTGGGGCCCCATAAAGCTCTTTTCTGTTATGGGAGGTTTCTAGGATCAAACAGCTATGACCACCATCATCACATTCCTGGCTACTCCACACTATGGAGCTGCGTAATGATGCCCTGTACTATGCTACTGGCTGAAGCATTTGGCACACACCCTTTCTGATCCTCACAACAGCTGAGTGAGGTGGCATTATTACCTTTATTTGTAAATGTGAGAAAACAGAGGCAAAAAGAGGTTAAGTGACCCATTCGGAGTCATAGAGCAAGAAAGTGGCTAAGTCCAGATTTGAGAGCAGGTCTGAGCAAAGCCTGCCTGAAATTTGCTTTTAGTCATCTTGTTTTGTTTTGCCATTTACCTTTTTGTATAATTTTTCTATTGCTCTCTGTTAGTCAAATTATTTTTGAAATGTCAAAAAATTTCTGTGCAGAAAATAAAAACCCTCAAAATAGAGTGCTAGGAGCTCAGGGGGTGGGGGACGAATATAGTCAAGTATTAAGACACAGCTAGGCCGGGCGCGGTGGCTCACACCTGTAATCCCAGCACTTTGGAAGGCCGAGGCGGGTGGATCACGAGGTCAGGAGATCAAGACCATCCTGGCTAACATGGTGAAACCCCATCTCTGCTAAAGGTACAAAAATTAGCCGGGCATGGTGGTGGCAGGCACCTGTAGTCCCAGCTACTTGGAGGCTGAGGCGGGAGAATGGCGTGAAGCCGGGAGGCAGAGCTTGCAGTGATCCGAGATCGCGCCACTGCACTCCAGCCTGGGCGACAGAGTGAGACTCCATCTCAAAAAAAAAAAAAAAAAAAAAAAAAAAAGACACAGCTCCCACTGCCGTCAAAAAACGTGGAGCTGGTGAGGTGGTTCATGCCTATAATCCCAGCACTTTCGGAAGCCAAGGCAGGAGGATCGCTTCAGCCCAGGAGTTGGAGACCAGCCTGGGCAACATAGTAAGACCTTGTCTCTAAAGAAAATTTTAAAAATTAGCTGGGCATGGTAGCACATGTCTGTAGTCCCAGCTACTCCAGAGGCTAAGGTAGGAGGATCACTTGGGCCTGGGAGTTTGAGGCTGCAGTGAGCTATGATTGCACCAACTGCATTCCAGCCTGGGCAACAGCACGAGACCCTGCCTCAAAAAAAAAAAAAAAGGCATGTGGACTGGCTCAGTGGGGTGGCCCGAGGTTCGGATGGGCTGTAGGGCAACACTGATCCATGGCTGCAGGAGTTGAGGAAGGGATGTAGTTGTGAGGATGGAAGTCAGAGCTTCCTTCAACGGGTGGCCCCACATGGCAGAGGAGCCCACTGTGGGCGTGACTTCCCTCCTCTCTGTCTCACTCAACCTTGGGTCTGTCAGTGTGATCTGCTGGGAGATTTCTAAGCTTCTAAGACAGCACCCTATAAGGGACCCAGGTGGGGAATAGACCGTGACCAGCCAGCGACCCCTACTACCCGTCACTCAAAAGCACTAGCACCTTCAGCCACTCCTCCTGGGGGTGGGTCAGACTTAGTTTTTTAGAAAAGCAGAGTGTTAGGTTCTTAGCTTGGAAGAGGGCAGACAGGCCAGTCCTGATACCTGATGGGGCATACCATCTCCCCTGATTTTCTGGTCCTGTTAGAATTTTCCATCTGAGAATTGGGAGGGTATTGACCTCCGCTTGGTTTCCCCATGATGTGTGGGGATCAGACCCCTGGATAACGAAGGTGTTGTTGAGGGTGGGTAGGAGAGCCTCCCCTGAGTTCTCAGTACCCCTTTGCCTCTCGTGCCCACTGCAGAGGCAGCTTGCCAACTACAACTTTGACTTCCGGAGCTGGCCAGTCGACTTCCACTGGGAAGAACCCAGCAGCCGGTGAGGCCCCAGTTCTTTTGCTGTATCTCTCCCCTTAGAACCATTCCAGAAAATCTCTGCTCTGCCCTCCCACCTCCATGCCCTCTCAGGTCACAGTGCCTGCCTTCCAATGCCATTATGTCGTTCCTAGACCCCACTGTTCTCCAGACCTCAGACATCCAGCTTGCTGCTCCTGACCCTATCCTTCCCTGCATCTTTCCCTTCCTCAGGAAGGAGTCTCGAGGGGGCCCTTCCCGCCGGGGTGTGGCCCTGCTTCGCCCAGAGCCCCTGCACCGGGGGACAGCAGACACCCTCCTCAACCGGGTTAAGAAGCTGCCTTGTCAGATCACCAGGTGGGAAACAGCAGCGAGGAGAGGCCCACTGGGGTGGAGGGGCCATTTCAGGAGTGCTCTGGGAGTGGGCGCTCCATTGTAAAATAGCTGTCACTCATTGGGCCTAGTGCTGTATGGTTTGTGTAGATCATTTATGGCAAAGTCATTTTTATCCATATTTATGTTTGAAGAAAAGAGGCTCAGAGAGGTCTGGAGTCTCAAATGTAGTAAGTAAAGAACTGGGATATGAACAAAAGCTCCTTCAGTGAGGCTGAAAAGGAGCAGTGGGGGTGGGGTGGGGGTGGGGAGGACACACACTTGTAGCTAGGGCAGGCTCTGGTAGCATCTGTGTACCCATCGTGGCCCCTCTGCCCTGTTGTTATTCCACCTTGGCTCCGGGCCCCTGTGTGCCTCAGTGTCTGCACCTGTGATGAACCTGCCCTGCAAGGTTGCTGAGGAGATTAAGTAAGGTAACATGTTCTGAAGGGCTCCTGCCTTGCCTGGGTGCTTGAGAGCACATGGTAAATCCCAAATAAAGCTCAGTCGTGGGTACTGATGATGTCAGAAGGAACGGAAATAACCACCTATATCTTATAGTGGAACAGACACTGGGAATTTTCTTTTGCTGGGAGTTAGGAGGCAGCTTCTAGAATACCAAGGAACAGGGTGGACTTAGTGGTTGGTTGTTGACAGTGTGCTAATTAGTCAGGGAGGCAAGCCATATTTGAGGTTTTGAATTATAACCATCATTTTTTAAAGCATTATTTATTTGGGGACCTTTAATATGTTGTACTTATATTTTAACAGAATCATAATCTGATGATAACTTTGCATTTACTTATTATGTATAGACAGTTACATCATAAAACTCTCAGAATTCTGTACATACAGGATATGTGTGCACTGAGCCACAATATAAAATGTTTATCTTACAAAGGTTGCAGTAAGAAAAGTTTGCAAAACACTAGCCTGGTACATATTTCATTAAGGCTTGAAAGAGGAAAGTAAAGCTGTGAAGGTCAGGGGTAAAGCAGGCCTTACAGTCTGTGAGTGCTAGGGCTGGGATGGTCCCCAGCACAGTCCCCAGGCCTCACCAGGGTTGGGGTTTGTTAACCTGTGTTCCCCACAGCTACCTGGTGGCGCACACCCTAGGGCGCCGGATGCTGTATCCAGGCTCTGTGTACCTGCTGCAGAAGGCCCTCATGCCTGTGCTGCTGCAGGGCCAGGCCCGACTGGTGGAAGAGGTGAGGCTTCCCTGCCCGCACATCCCCTAAAGCCCTCCCCTCTCACCCCCACCCACCCCGCCCCACCCCTGTGATGTGGCCTCCTGACCCTTGCATCTTGGCCATTGCGTCTTCCGTACTCAGTGTAATGGGCGCCGGGCAAAGCTGCTGGCCTGTGATGGCAATGAGATTGACACCATGTTTGTGGACCGGCGGGGGACAGCTGAGCCCCAGGGACAGAAGCTGGTAAGAGGGAGCAGAGAGCCCAGAGGTGGGGTGAGTGTGAGGAAGGCAGTAGAGGTCTGGGGACCCCAATGCTATAGCACCTCCCTGAAGGAACCACTACTGGGGATAATCTCATGTCCTAGCTCCACGCTAAAGACCTTGTGATGTAGTGAAACCCTGTGATAGAGAAACAGATGAAGTAGGAGAGACGTTCAAGGACGAGAAACTAATATTAATAGTTACCACTTTGACAGCACTTCACACTTATATATATTTAATTCTCATATATATATGAAGCATATATATTTAATTCTCAAAAGAATCCCGTGAGATAGGTACTGCTTATATTAGCCCATTTTACAGGAGATGAAACTGGGGCACAGAAAACCTTTCCTGGACCTCACAGTAAGTGGTAGAGCTGGTATTTGGACCCAGGCAGCCTGGCCTCAAAGTCTCCTACCTCCATGAAGCAGCCGTGGAAAGAGCGCTAAGCCAGGAGTCTAGGGAGCTGGGTTCTAGTCCTGGCTCTGCCCATCTGTTATGAGAGTTCATGCAAATCCCACCATTCGTGGGTTTCAGCTTGGGGCGCCATGGCATTACAGTTTATCTGACCATAAGACTGGAGCTCAGAGAGGGATAGGGAGAGCAATCAGCATACCACACAATAGCAATGGTCACAGAAGATAACAGACCCGAAAACGAGAAAGGAAAAACATCTCCATAGTCCCCTTCCTGAAAGAGATCCAGCTGGTAATCTTCCAAGGAAAAGACATGGCTGGGTGGTCGAGCAGGTCAGCCTCTGAGGAGTATTTGTAATCCCTTTGCTTCTCCTCTTATGGACCCTGTGGAATGAGAAGCTTCCATTCCCCTTGGAGAAAACAGAAACCTGCCCTTTCCTCTTCCCTGCAAAGCTCTTCATGGGCTGCCCTCCCTGCCCAAAGGGAGTTTTTCAGTCCCAACTTGGCCCCCCAGCCCTTCCTTCCTGCCTCCTTCCTAGGTGATCTGCTGTGAGGGGAATGCTGGGTTTTATGAGGTGGGCTGCGTCTCCACGCCCCTGGAAGGTAGGACGGTGACTCAGCCTCCTTATCTCCGCCCTTTGAAAGGGAATGTCCCTGCCTCCCACACTGACCTGACCTCCCCTGGCCTCTGCTTTCTCTGGGTGAGGTTTTGAGTCTCTCAGCTTTAGGGAAAAGTCCACTCGCCATTTGCTTTGATAACCTTACATCCCTCCCCTGGCCTGTGTCCCTAGCTATTATGCTTTTCATTCTGTTCCATTCCCCCACCACACACCCCACACAATCACATGCTGCTCCCTGTGCTGCCTCAGAACCTCTGGTGTCATCTCCTATTTCTGGGAAGGCTTGGAGTTATTTGCATCTAAGCTGGGGGGTACTTCTGCTCTTCCTTCCCCCAGGGATGGAGAAAGGGCTGTGGGCCACAAGGTCTCAGTCCCTCCTCCCCCTGTGTTACAGCTGGATATTCAGTCCTGGGCTGGAATCATCCAGGCTTTGCTGGAAGCACGGTGAGACCATCTCAGGAATCCCTTCCTTTTCCTGAATTATGTCTGTTTCCCTCTGGTCAGCCATTGGAGGGAGGAGAGGGGCTGTGGATTTCTTGAAGGCCTCCCACTCACCTGAGGGCTGGGGTCTAGGAGGTTGTGAAGGCAGCATTGGGAGCCATGCCCCCATCCCCACAGTGCGGGGCTAGCAGGAGAGGAGGAGGTAGATCTCATTGTACACATCCGTCTTCTGGAGAGAACAACCTCTCCTACCATCCCTTCCTTCTACACCTTCTCTGCCTGTCATAGGTGGCTGCAGGAGGGGTCCACGTTGGGAGGGACAGGTGAGCTGGCCTTTGGTGCTGACACACTCCTGACTTTGCCCTTTCTCCTGCAGGGGGTGCCATTCCCGCAGAATGAGGCTAATGCCATGGATGTGGTGGTCCAGTTTGCCATCCACCGCCTGGGCTTCCAGCCCCAGGACATCATCATCTACGCCTGGTCCATCGGCGGCTTCACTGGTACCAGCCTCCCTCCCATCCCCCACTGTAGACACATTCATGACCACCCAGCCCCACCCGGGAGAGGTGGGGAAATGGGGTGGGGTGGAGGCTCAAGGAAGAAGAGAGAGGAAGTAGAATCTCTGAGTGGGCCTGGAAGAAGCTATCCTATTTGCATACACTTCACCTTTCCTTCCCCTCTTGTGCCCAGTCATTAAAAGGAAAAGCAGACCCAGGTCCTGGGTGGGGAGATCAGGGAAAGTGAATGTTTCCTGCCCATTATCTTCAGTGCACTATCTCCAGTGTTCTATCCCCATCCTCTCCAGATAGTTCCCTAACCAAGTGAAGTAGGTTAAGAAAAAAACAAGGGATAACATAGGGGGAATGGGGTTGGCCTATAGGGTCAGTGGGATGAGAGCATGGGTGGTGGGGAGAAAGGAGCCTTTCTCAGTTCTTACTCTTCTTCCCTGCCCTGGTACCAGCCACGTGGGCAGCCATGTCCTACCCAGATGTTAGTGCCATGATCCTGGATGCCTCCTTTGATGACCTGGTGCCCTTGGCCTTGAAGGTCATGCCAGACAGCTGGAGTGAGTGCAGCTCCCAGGCCTGCCCTTCCTGGGAAGGGGTGGGCTGGAACTGGGAACTGTTCTGAGATGGCTCCCTTTTCTTGGGTGGGGAGTAAGTCGCCCCATTGTTGGAAGCAGGAGGACTCCTTTGTCTGGGGGCCTCAGTTTTCTTTCTCCGTGAATAGTGAGGACCTTTATGTTGGGCAAGGGCTTTGTCTCTGCCATCCCTTCACCTTTATCCCACTCTAGGGGGCCTGGTGACCAGGACCGTGAGGCAGCATCTCAATCTAAACAACGCGGAGCAGCTGTGCAGGTGAGGGCCGGCCAGCGTCCGGCATTGAACACCTGCCCCCCATACAGCTCTGCTGGGCGCTCAAACCCTGAAACTAGTACTAAAGTGCAAGTTGGTAAAAGGCCACTGGCTCACATCCTGAGTGACCCTGCCACCACCTCAACTGGCCTAACCCCTCCCAGGTCCCCTGGGACTCTGGACCACCTCAGGATCTGGCAACCAAAGGGTTAAGGCCTGGCACGGCAGGGGTCTCCCAGCAGGGCCAGACTGAACCATGCCCCTTAAATAATCCCCTCTCACCCCTGAGTGAAGGGCTAGGTCAAGGGCTGTGCTATAGCAAGGGGAGGGTAAGAATGCTACCAGTGCAGGGATAGGGGTGGGCCAGTTGTCACCCGTCTCCCTCTGAGCTCTCCCTTCCCACTGCTCTGTTCTCTGAAGATACCAGGGTCCTGTACTGCTGATCCGGAGAACCAAGGATGAGATCATCACCACCACGTGAGTGCGTGGGAATCTCGGCCCTCAGGAACCCCAGAGATGGCCAGGAACTTGTCCCTTCTACCTCTGCCCACCAGAAACCTGGGTATCTAGACCCTTCCTCCTAACCTCCAGCCCCTCCAGGGTACATTCTTCTCACCCCCAGGGTTCCTGAGGACATCATGTCCAACCGAGGCAATGACCTCCTGCTGAAGCTCCTGCAGCATCGGTGAGAGCCAGGGTGTGTGCGCGCTGGGGGCAGTGTACACACACAGATACTGATACCAGCACAGGGAAGGAGGGAGGAAGGTTCAGGGATGGTGAATGAAAAAAAATCAGCCCTGACCTGTCCTGGCACTTCCTCCGTAGGTATCCCCGGGTGATGGCAGAGGAGGGTCTTCGAGTGGTGAGGCAGTGGTTGGAGGCCTCCTCACAGCTGGAGGAAGGTGAGAAGGGATCCAGTGAGGCTTGGGGCGGGGGCCCAGCAAGGTCAGGTTGCTGACTGGCTGTCATCTCTCTCCCTGACCAGCCTCAATTTATAGCCGATGGGAGGTGGAAGAGGACTGGTGTCTGTCTGTCCTCCGCTCCTACCAGGCAGAACACGGGCCTGACTTCCCCTGGAGCGTGGGTAAGGAGCTCCTGGGGCAGGAGAGAGGGTGGGAAGGGCCTAGGAAGGGGATGAATACCCAGATGTGTGGCCTATTTTGAGCGCCTCCTCTCTGCAGGGGAGGACATGAGTGCAGATGGACGGCGGCAGCTGGCTTTGTTTCTGGTGAGCTAAGGAGTGGGAAGTGGGAAGGGTTCTTGAATGGCCAGGGCTCACATAGGGGGACTGGGGATACCCTATAAGCATTGGAAGTGGCAGCTTTTGTAGAGTGGGTGGTGGATGCGGAAGTGGAGGGTGGGGAGGGAGTCCAGTGGCTGCCCCTCCCAACAGTGCTCTGTACCCCACCTGTCCCACCTCCTTTCCTCAGGCTCGGAAGCATCTGCACAACTTTGAGGCCACTCACTGCACCCCACTCCCAGCCCAGAACTTCCAGATGCCCTGGCACCTCTAGGGACCAACTGGGACTCATTATGGAAGAATGGGGTGAGAGGAGACATGAGGAAAGACCCTCTTATTTGTGATTCTCTGTGTTCATGTTGCTGTTTATAGTTTGTGGAAAGTGGGGGACCATCCCCCTTCTCACCACTGTTCCTCTTGCACGTTTCCCCTCATTCATGTGGCTGTACTTAACCTTCTCCAACATACATCCTGCATTACATGAATGGATTATTCCTAATAATTAATAAAAAGGTATTTTTTCTACTATCTGGCTAATTGTATAACTTCTCAAGTGTCCAGGGAGCCAGGGGCAGGTAGTGGGGAGAGCAGAGGCCCCAAAGAGCTGGGCTTTGGGAAACCCTAACTCTAGACAATCTAGCTAATCTAACCCTTCCCATCTCTGTGTCCCCCTAGGCCTTCAGCCCCTAACCTGAGCTTTCCTCAGGCAGCAGGTCCCCAAACCTCCCCGGTCCCTGATGTGCCTACTGTTATCACAACTGTGCAGCCTCCCTGGCCCCTCCCGCCTCCTTCTTCAGTTCTTCCTGCATACAACCACCCCAGGAGCCCATGGTTGCCCCCTCCTGCTTACGGCTCATGAGCTTTCTAGGATCCGATTTCACCTACCCAGTGCTTCTGCTGGTTTCCAGGTTCAACCTGCATGGTGTTACTAGCAGTACCCCCAATTTTCATTGCTCACCTCTTGTTATCTTGGTGAAGAGTGAGGAAGGGCCTGCTCCCCACGTCTTATGCAGCAAACCCTGCACACCCACCTTGCCATGTCATCAAGTCTCTGTCCTCACAGCCTTTTTGCAGTTCAACAAACACAGGCCCTGCCAGGGACGGAGGGCCAGGTGCCAAGGACTCATGTCTTCTCAGAGCCATACTTTGCCTTTTGGACGGCTCTGTTAGGAGAAGATGCTTAGGTTGTACCTGAGGAAATTGGTTCCCTATAACTGCCATCTATCTCTAACTTTGGACCTTGTGGAACACAGTGAATAAATCCCTCTTCCACCCATTGGTTTGTTGCCTGGCAGTTTTTTTTATTTTTTTGGAGATGGAGTCTTACTATGTTGCCCAGGCTGGAGTGCAGTGGCACAATCTGAGCTTGCTGCAACCTCCACCTCCCAGGTTCAAGTGATCCTCCAGCCTCAGCCCCTCTAGTAGCTGGGATTACAGGTATGCGCCACCATACCCAGTTGATTTTTGTATTTTTAGTGAAGATGAGGTTTCGCCATGTTGGCCAAGTTGGTCTCGAACTCCTGACCTCAGGTGATCCAACCGCCTTGGCTTCCCAAAGTGTTGGGGATTAAAGGTGTGAGCCACTGCGCCTGGCCGCTGGCCACTTTCTTCATTTGGAAACTTCTCTTTTCCAGATGAAAGACCCCAAAGTTTATCGCCCTGAGTCCATTTTTGTTTTGTTTTGTTTTATTTTGTTGGGGATGGTTTTTTGTTTGTTTTTTGAGATGGATTCTCACTCTGTCGCCTAGGCTGGAGTGCAGTGGCACGATCTCAGCTCATTGCAACCTCTGCCTCCCAAGTTCAAGCGATTCTCCTGTCTCAGCCTCCCAAGTAGCTGGGATTACAGGTGTGTGCCACTACACACAGCTGATTTTTCGTATTTTAGTAGAGACAGGTTTCACCATGTTGCCCAGGCTGGTCTCAAACTCCTGAGCTCAGGCAATCCACCCACCTCAGCCGACTCCATTCTTTTTTTTTTTTTTTTTTTGAGACGGAGTCTCGCTCTGTCACCCAGGCTGGAGTGCAGTGGCACAATCTCGGCTCACTGCAAGCTCCGCCTCCTGGGTTCACGCCATTCTCCTGCCTCAGCCTCCCTAGTACCTGGGACTACAGGCGCCTGCCACCACGCCTGGCTAATTTTTTGTATTTTTAGTAGAGACGGGGTTTCACTGTGTTAGCCAGGATGGTCTCGATCTCCTGACCTCGTGATCCACCCGCCTCTGCCTCCCAAAGTGCTGGGATTACAGGCGTGAGCCACCGCGCCCGGCCAACTCCATTCTTTTGAGCAAGATACTTAACGTGGGCGACAATGTTCTAATGTCCTAGATGGAGTCTCTGGCTAAATTTCTGTGTCTTCTCCAAACCCAGTGCATGAAGCTCTTCTTGAAACCCCAGGGCAGAGGCTGTGTGTGCCCCCATTAGCGCTGCAACTCCTTAAGGGAAGATATACTGAGTCTCCACTGGAAGTGGAGATCTGAGACTTAATCAGGTGATGTGATGCCTGAAATTTGGAGTTAGAAGAGGCAGGTGACCACAGCTCCATAATGCTCCACCGTTAGCAAACAGGTGGATAGCTGATACTGGTGCCCTCTCCTCTATCCCATTCCAGGGGGGCAAACGATGGGAAGTGTGGAACATGAAGCTCTGGAGCCAGCTGCACAGTTCTGAATCCCATCCTCCCAGATCCAACAGAAGAGTTAATCCCCTGAAAACTAAATTTTTGTTCAGCTAAGGGAAGCTCCTTAAATGCAAAGAGGAGCTGGGCATGGTGGCTCACATCTGTAATCCCAGCACTTTGGGAGGCTGGGGCAGGAGGATCACTTGAGCCTAGAAGTTCAAGACTGGACAGGGCAACATAGGGAGACTCCATCAGTACAAAAAATTTAAAAATTACCCAGGCATGGTGGCATGCACCCGTGTTCCAAGCTACTCTGGAGGCTGAGGTAAGAGGATCGCTTGGCTGAGGATCACGGTAGGTTGAGGCTGCAGTGAGCTGTGATCGTGCCACCGGACTCCAGCTTGGGTGACAGAGTGAGACTCTGTCTCAAAAAAAAAAAAAAAAGCAAATAGGGGTGCCCAGTCTCACCTCCCATACCCTGGGGACAAAGGACACCCCTCCCTGGACATGGCCATTAGGGACTCTGCTGAACTGCCCCTACTGCCACTTTCCCCCATCTTACTGCATGTAATTGTAGACAACAGTGGATGACCTGAGGGGCCCTTAGATACCTGAAATTGGGTAGGGAAAGAAAGGTAGGCTCAACATGTGAATTCTGAACCCCCCCATCCAGGGGCCTCAGCCTACTTCAGATTACTCCCTATGCAATAAGGTTCAGAGCAGCTGTGTTTGTTTTCAGAACTAATCCCCACCCAGGGGTGGAAGCAGGCCCCTGTCCACTCCTCACCCTATATAGCAAAGTTCCAGCAGTTCCAGGGGATGATCAGCAGAGATGCAGACCTTCCCAGTTGCTGGGGCGCTGGACCCTGCTATACTGGACACAAGGTGAGGCCTGAAAGTCCAGGCACCCTGAGGAGCTGGGCAAACTAGCAGAAAAGATGGCGCTGGGAGAAAGGAAAGTTAGACTCTGGACGGGAAATCTGGAAAGAAGTGGTTCCCAGCTGGGCCAAAAAGCCTCATCCTACGCCGTCTCATCGACCTGGGCTCCACCCTGAGTGCCTCCAGTGTGAGGTGCTGGACTGGCTCTGTGCTGCCTGTTTGGGTTGAGGGTTTGCTCCTAGGAGAGGCATGTATTTCTCGTACAGCTGTCACAAGCGAGTGAGGGCTCCGGAGGTGGAGGGCCCAAGAGGGTGGGGAGCTCAGGCGTCAGTGATAGCCAGATTTCCATCCATCGGTCCGTCCGTCCGTCCATCCATCCATCCATCTATCCAATCAACAAGCCATTCCGGATTCTTCAGGAATCCAGTCATTCATTTATATTTAGGTTAAAGACCCTCTCTCTGGTTCCTCTCTAGAACGCAATCTCGAGCCGCTCCCCCAACAAACCGTGGCCCTCTCCCGACCGGGTCATCTACAGCCCCGCCCCTCGTTTGCCTGGCTCCATTCCCCTAACCTGGGCGTTCTGTCCTCAGGCCCCGCCTTCTTTGTTTCGTCACTCGGTTGCTTACCCTCAGGTATCCCTTAACTCTAGGTAGGAGCACTCAGAAGGGACACCGTCATCTGCTGCTGTCGCCATGGCGATTATTCAACGCCCTGCCTCTTCACCCCAGGAAAACCTTCGCGGAACCCGTCACCATGGAAACGAACTCTCTGGACTCTTAGCGCGCCCTGGGCTGGCCCTGCTGGGTGGACAGGAGAGGAGCAAAACGCAACAAAGACGGGATTAATTACTCGGAGGCCGCGCCCCCTCCGAAGAAGGCCCCACCCTGCCCCGGCCTCACCCCTCCCCGAAATAATTCGAGGAAATATTCCGCGAATGCTGGGTGGGTGTCTTGCCCCCCGGTTCCCTCAAGGCCCACGGTCGCTTGAATTCCACAGCAAGTCCTCCCGGACCTCTCAGGGCAATCCCCTCCCGAAGCCCAGCCTCAGCCTCGCAAAGCCTCTAGTCGTTGGCCTTTTCGTTGCGATTATATTCGAGAGGGAGCTTCAGAGGGCGCCGCGAAGTTCCCCTGTGCTTCCCCTTTGCCCTTTGCCCTCTTCGCTTCAAGAGGAGCCCTGGCTCTCTTTTTTTTTTTTTTTTTTTTTTTGAGACGGAGTCTTGCTCTGTCGCCAAGCTGGAGTGCAGTGGCGCGATCTCGGCTCACTGCAACCTCCGTCTCCCGGGTTCAAGCGATTCTCCTGCCTCAGCCTCCTGAGTAGCTGGGACTACAGGCAGGCGCCACCACTCCTGGCTAATTTTTGTATGTTTAGTAGAGACGGGGTTTCACCATATTGTCCAGGATGGTCTCGATCTCTTAACCTTGTGATCCGCCCAGCTCGGCCTCCCAAAGTGCTGGGATTACAGGCGTGAGCCACGGAGCCCGGCCCTCTGATTCTTTTTGTCTATCACTCTGTGCACTCATTCATTCAAGACATTTATGTAGGTGCCCCGCGTTCCTCTGCAGTTCTCCACTACTCTGGCTTTTCTCTAATACAATTTATTTTGTGTTATTATTTCTTTAAGACAGAGTCTCACTCTGTCGCCCAGGCTGGAGTGCAGTGGTGCGATCTCGGCTCACTGCAACCTCTGCCTCCCAGGTTCAAGAGATTCTCCTGCCTCAGCCTCCCGAGTAGCCAGGACTACAGGCGTGCGCCACCACACCTGGCTAATGTTTTTGTATTTTTTGATAGAGACGGGGTTTCACCATGTTGCTCAGGCTGGTTGCGAACTCCTGACCTCGAATGATCCCCCACCTTGGCCTCCCAAAGTGCTGGGATTACAGGCATGAGCCGCCACGCCCGGCTAATTTTTGGTATTTGTAGTAGAAACGGGGTTTCACCATGTTAGCCAGGCTGGGTGCGAACTCCTGACCTCAGGTAGTCCACCCGCCTTGGCCTCCCAAAGTGCTGGGATTACAGGCGTGAGCCACCGCAGTCCGGCCCTAATATAGTTTTTAAATTCATTCATTCCAAGGCTTTTGGGAGGCGCTCAGTGGCGTGCAGTTTCCTCTCGAATTTCTTTCTTCCCGCAGTCTTTCTGGGCGGGCGTCTCCCGTCTGTTTCTTCCCATCTTCCCCCTTATCATCCTGGGACTGGATAATTCTTGAATAGTCTGGGAGGTAGCAGGGAACCCGAGTTCGGAGCCTCGACCAGAACCTCCAGACGGGAAATTGGAGCAGGTGGTGTCGTTCCAGGACGCTGAGGACCACCTCCTCCCCTAACGCACAGCCCAACGATCCTAAAAGTAAAAACCCTGAGTTTCTGAGTCAAGACTGAGCTGGTGGGGTGGGGACCGAGTAGGCGTGGATGGGGAGCCCAGCGGGTCCCCAGCGGAGAAAATGGGTGAGACGCCTGGGGCCGCGGTCTCCAGAATTCGCCTGGGAGGGAGAGTGGCGCTACGGCGCCGCCTTCCTGGGGAGCCGCTTCGGGCTCCGGATGTCCGCTGGGGCCCGACGCTTGGGTCCCGACGCGCGGTTCGCACTTTCCAGGTTTCTTCCCCAGGGAACAGAGCTTGAGCCGGGGGCCACCCCCCCGTCCTACCGGAGTTCTGAGGTGCGGTCAGGCGCGGAGAGCGGACGCCCAGCGCCAGATTCTGTGGGCTCCGGAGTTCAGGCCCACTGAGCCGCAGCTGAGCACAGGCGGGGCAGGAAAAAGGATGAGGTGAGGGAAGGCGCTGGGTTCCTGGAACCCCAAGGGAGCACTGAGCTGAGTACGTATCGCTTGGGATCCAGGTGTCCTTGTTTTAGGATGTCTGACAGGTGTCCCCAGGGTATGAGAAGTGGGACTGGGCACCCCCTATTTGCTTTTTTTTTTTTTTTTTGAGACAGACCACATGTTTCCTATCTTGGAAAATGGTACCACTTCCTTGTGCAAGCCTACCCCTGTTCCCTCACCCCTCGTTCAGTCCAACAGCAAATCTGTCCAGTCTTCTAACTGTATCTCAGGTTCATTAGCCCCGCTTCCTCGTCCCTGCTCGTCTTCTGCCGGACCAGTCCGCCATCTTGTGACCGGACTCGGGAATAGCGTCCTACTTCCCGGCGGCCTCCACTCTTGACCCAAATGCAATGTGCAGCCATGGCAATCTTTTATAAACAGAAATCCGATCAAGTTACTCCTCTGCCGAAATCCCTCTGGTCAGTGGTTTAACTGTCGAGGTGCTCCTGGCAGCACTCTGCCCTCCCCACATCATTGCTGGTGGACTTGTCTCCCCTACTAGACTGTGCCCTGTGAGGGTGGAGACTTTGTGCAGGGTTGTATCCCCAACATCTGATGCAGTGATTCAATAAACATCTGTCCAATTAATAGGAAAGACAGTTCCTTTTCTCATTCCCCTATTGCTGGTCCCCTGCCCTCAAGCAGGATGTTATGCCCCAGAGTGGCTGTGGGTGCGAACATTCTGCCCCTCTGGCTGGTCTGGCACTGATTTCCACCCTGAGCTGGTGTTGCCTCTCTCCTTCCTCTTGGCCAACCTCTCTTCCACCAATATAAGCCCAAACTGGAGGCCAGCAGGCAGTCATGCGTTTTATGGCAGGCCCTGCAGGGAGCCAGAGTCTGGGTCCCCTGTGCTTCCACAGCAGCCCCCAAGCCCTCTACACGGTCCTCTTAATAGTGCTGGTCATGATGAGCTTGGTGTTTGGTAAGTGGCTCCAAGGGTTCAGAAGGGTCTCCTGGCCTGGATGGAGAAACCCACAGACACCAAGTGTCTGGGTACACCTGTCCAGGATGCTCAGGTAAACCCATGCAGGAGGAGAGATGGGACAGATGGGTTTGGTAGGGAATGCCTGCTCATGGACTGATGTGCAATCTGAAGATTTTTAAAAATTTATTATTATTATTATTTTTGAGATGGAGTCTCGCTCTGTATCCCAGGCCGGAGTGCAGTGGCGAGATCTCGGCTCACTGCAACCTCCACCTCCCGGGTTCAAGCGATTCTCATGCCTCAGCCTCCCGAATAACTGGGATTACAGGCATAAGCCACCAAGCCCAGCTAATTTTTGTATATTTAGTAGAGACGGGGTTTCACCATGTTGGCCAGGCTGGTCTCGAACTCCTGACCTCAGGTACCTGCCCGCCTTGGCCTCCCAAAGTGCTGGGATTACAGGCGTGAGCCACCGCACCCAGCCTCTGAAGGAGATTTCTAGTGACCACCCCAGGGCTGTCTCACTTCACAGCAGTGACCTGAATAGAGATACTGAAGGAATCCTCTCTGGATCTGAGGGCAACATAGAATAGGGAGGGTTAGGGAGTGTGCTGGATGAGAAAACCAGAATCCACAGGATAGAACAAGACTGAGTCCAGCCTGCTGGGCTCCCCACTTGGCTGCAAAGCACCAGCCACAGAGACACAGGATTCAAAGTGTTGGTTTAGCACTTTCCTCTGCCTAACACCAAGTGCTCTGCTGGGTCTGGGGATTTGTTAACATGTGGTCTGGCCTTAGGACCAGAGGAAAAGGGGGATGTATGTGTATGCAGTTGGGGAAGGAAGCAGAGAATTGGGGCTTTGATGGTTTTCTGAGACAGGAAGGGAGGGAGGAGTGGGGCTGAGTGGCCTGGAATCAGGCAGTGGTAGGGTGTGAGGTAGAATGGGGTGTGAGTGGGGTCAGCACTTCTCTGTGTTCTAGGTAAGTTTGTTCCTGTCAATTGGGAACCCCCTCAACCACTTCCATTCCCCAAATACCTGCGCTGCTACCGATGCCTCTTGGAGACCAAGGAGTTAGGGTGCCTTCTGGGATCTGACATCTGCCTCACCCCAGCTGGCAGCAGCTGCATCACTCTCCACAAAAAGAACAGTAAGTGGCCTTCTCCTGTCATGGGCCCAGCACTCTCCCAAACGGAAACTCTCTCAGCCTCCTAAGCTGCACCCCAAGTCTTGTTCCCATAATCCCATAAGACATTGCTCCGATCCTGTCTTTTTTTTTTTTGCTGCTCTGTCACCCAGGCTGGAGTGCAGTGGCGCAATCTTGGCTCACTGCAACCTCCACCTCCCCAGTTCAAGCAATTCTTGTGCCTCAGTCTCCCAAGCAGCTGGGATTAAAGGTGCACGCCACCACGCCCAGCTAATTTTTTGTATTTTTAGTAGAGATGGGGATTCACCATGTTGGCCAGGCTGGTCTCGAACTCCTGACCTCAGGTGATCCACCCACCTTAGCTTCCCAGAGTGCTGGGATTACAGGCGTGAGCCACCGTGCCCAGCCTCTCTTCCCTTTTCTTCAGAGCCACACTCTGTCTCCACTTCCACTAACCTTCTCTCCTCAATCTGTAGCTGAATAGCTTCTACCCTATCAAGGTGCGCAGCTTTGACGGGGACCCTCCAGATCTCCAGGTGCCCTTGCCTGTCCTCAAGCTGTCTGCTTCCGCATCTGTCTGCAGTTACTGCTGGTGTTGCTCTTCTCCTGCATCCTCCACGGCTTCTTCAGTCTCCTTCATGGAGCGTTTTCTCTCTGACCCTTAGTGGTTCATGTTCACCAAGGTTTGGTCCTTAGCTGTCTTCCCACTTCATATACTCAAAAGCAGAGGATTTTATCTGCTTTGCTGGCTTCAACCAGCAGCCACATACCACTTCCTTCTGAATCTGAATGTTATGTCAAACCGCTCTCCTCATATCCCGTTGACCACTGGACATCTCCCTCGCTGAAAATTGACTCCTTCCCGATGCCTGCTCTTCCACCGACCCCCCACCTTTCTTAAGTTAGCAAAAACGTAACACATAATATGTGCTAGGCACTGTTCTAAACACTTGCAATCCACTGAGGCAGGTATTATTACTATGTGCATTTTACAGATGAGGAAACAGGTGCAGAAAGGTCATAACCTTGCCTGAGTCTCACAGATGCTGAGCCAGAATTTGTGATGGCTCCAGAGATGGTGCTCTCAACAACCACTGCATGCAGCTGCCTGTGTTCAAGTCCTCTTACTACCCTTTTAACATAGCCGATGCACAGATGTGGGTCAAATATCAGAGTATACAATACCATCAAACCAAAGTCTCCCGCTACTACCCTAACCCACCTGGCTCCCCTGCACATGTGACCACTTTTTTTACTTTCTGGATGATCCCTCCTGCAATCTTTTATGCACATTCCACCCTGCACAAATATGCTGTTTACTATTTTTTCACCTCTTCCCCCGCCCCAACCCAAGATAGTAGCATCCCACTGTAAACATTATTCCACATTTAAGTTAGGGGAACTGAATGTTCCGATATCAGTTTGTAAACAGCTTCCTTGTTTTATTGACCTGCTGTATACTACTCCATAGCATGCGCATATCACAGCTGATTTCCCCATCCCACTATTGATGGGCATTTTGGTCATTTCTCTCAAGCAGGGCAGCAGCAAACATCCCTGAACATGACTTCTTGGGATGCAGGCACAAAGATTTTTCTCTATTATGTATAACAGCAGCAGACATCATCTTATTCTCTTTTGGTCTGAAAAATAAATAACAATACACCTCCTTCCTGCCACCCAATCTCCAAAACATTTCCCAGCTTTTTCTCACATGGTCCTATGGTGCTAGTTCTCCTCACTTGGCTCAGTAACTCCCAACTCCCCCTCCAACCATTACATTTCATATGGCTCTTTTCCTCCAGCCTTGCATGGGAACTTCAGTGGAGTTCCATGGCTGGTGAACACTGGGCATGTCCACCCATGCCTAACTACAGGAATCTTTTCTTTTTCTTTTTTTTTTGACTTATGAGTGTGGGGATGAGAGGATTTGGGGCTCTTCCTGGGGACTTCCGTATCACTGGTGCCCACTGTCCCTCCCCAGGCAGCGGTTCTGACGTCATGGTGAGTGACTGCCGAAGTAAGGAGCAGATGAGTGATTGTTCAAATACCCGAACTTCTCCGGTGTCTGGCTTCTGGATATTCTCTCAATACTGCTTCCTGGATTTCTGCAATGACCCTCAAAACAGAGGGCTCTATACTCCTTAGTGTGACTGCAGCAAACTTTGGTGTAAAATTCCACCAGTTTCCAGCCACCTTCCTGACTTCTATCTGGGCTTGGCCAGGACTTCTAGTCCCTCACACCAGCCCTCCTTGCCTCCCTCCAGCCACTGGACCCCAGCCTTGGCTCTTCCTCTTGGTTGACGCCCTTCAGCACACTTACTGCTACTCTGTACCCCCAGCCCTACTGCCCACCAGGTTTCCTCTCTTGTCCCCTAGTCCCTGGATGTTTCTCCCAAATAAATTTGTGTGTAAACTGTTTGGTATGTCTCTTTCTTCTGGTGGAGGTGAAGGCTGAGGGAGGTGCACCTGCCTAACTGCCCTACCATGGGTCAGGTAAGGGACCCCCAGCTCTGCTGAGCTGTCCTCTTGTCCTGCCTTGGTATGTGATTTGCTCTAGACACAAAAAGAGAAAGAGGAAATGAAAGCCCTCCTATGGTGAATGCCAGAAAGTTAGTGGGCATCCTCGGCAGTGCTGTCAGACCAGAGCTGTGTGGGGGCTAGGGGCGTTTAGAGGGCTATGTTGGTGGGAAGGGGGCTGCGAAAGGACCAGGCCCAGGTAGAAGGAGGTGGGTGAGAAGGCCACTCTTTTTTTGAGACAGTCTCACTGTCACCTAGGCTGGAGTGCAGTGGTGTGATCTTGGCTCATTGCAACTTCTGCCTCCCAGGTTCAAGTGATTCTTCTGCCTCAGCCTCCCGAGTAGCTGGGATTACAAGCACATGCCACCACACCTGGCTAATTTTTATATTTTATTAGTAGAGACGGGGTTTCACCAGTTGGCCAGGCTGGTCTCGAACTCCTGACTTCAAGTGATCTGCCTGCGTTGGCCTCCCAAAGGGCTGGGATTACAGGCGTGAGTCACCCCGAGCCGAGAAGGCCACTCTCAAAGAGATGTTAGACCTTATTGGAGTCCTGGTCTCTTCAATTCTGGGCCAAGTTCTTCAGCCTCTGAGGGTGTCTTCCAGGTTGACCTGCTATAAACCTGGGCCTTTCTCTGTCTTATACTGACGTCAGAGGTCATGGAGAAGGGTGGACTTAGCAAGGTGGGGGTTGGGGGGCACATTAAGGGTTTGTACCTCTCTTTGTACGCCAACTGCCTCATGACTTAATTATCATTGGTTTGGTATTTTCCGTCAGAGTACAGGCCACACAGATTTGTTAACACGTGTGCAAAACACTATATAGGTAAAAGCAGATGCGTACGATGCCATTTCCATCAAGCACAGACAGAACTCATCTAAGCTACTACCAGTCAGGACAGCGGCTACCCCAGAGCTGGGAAGAGCACCTGGGAGAGGGGAACAGAGGCAGGCTTGGCTGCGGGTAAAGGTCTTCACGCTGATTTGGTGGCTGGTTACACAGATGTGTGGTTTACAAAAATCCATCTTGTGATATGTGCAAGCTTCTGAATGTTTTACCAAAAAGGTTTGAAAATAAGTAAATCAGCCAGGTGAGCATGGTGGTGTGCAACTGTAGTCCCAGCTACTTGGAGGCTGAGGCAGAAGAATCTCTTGAGCCCAGGAGTTCAAGGCCAGCTTGGGCAACATAGTAAGAACCTTAGAAAAAAAAGCTGAACATTGTGTATGCATTTGACTCTAGGGCAAATATATTTTTTTGAGGGGGAAAAGGCCTTAACTTCTACTTGTGTATGCACATTTACATGTGTTTTCTCAATCATCTGAGGCACTATCCCTACTTGACAGGTGACCAAGGTGGGGCTGAAGAGACTGACATATCCAAGTGGTAGAGGGGCTGGGATTGGACCTCCCAGCCACAAAGCTGCACTGCTTTTCAGAAAAAGGTTTCATAACCCAAGCACTGGGCTGCAAGACTTGGAAGGGCAGACACCTGGCTATACTCATCTGGGAGTCCTGCTGCTCAATACCAAGCCTGACTCAGAGCAGCGTTATGTCCAGCATGTTTATCCAGTGTATGGAAAAGGCTGTTGTATCCATCCTTGCTTTCTATACGTTTGCACTATTTCAAAATTAAAATATTAGCATGAAGATCCAACCACTGCAGCCCAACATCAGTGCTCTCAGCACTTTGCCCCTCAAATTGGGCCCCTCGAGAGGGCATCCTGGATGCCAGAATCCTTGAAAAGAACTAAGGAATGGCAGGAGTCCAGGGCCCCAGCAGCAGGTAACTCTGGCATGTGGCTCTGAGTTCCTGAGTCTTTCTGGTTTAAAGAGAAAGTTTCTTTTTTTTTTTTTTGGAGACAGTCTCGGTCTGTCACCCAGGCTGGAGTACAGTGGCACGATCTCGGCTCACTGCAAACTCTGCCTCCCAGGTTCAAGCGATTCTCCTGCCTCAGCCTCCTGAGTAGCTGGGATCACAGACACGTGCCACCATGCCCAACTAATTTTTTTTTTTTTTTTTTTAGTAGAGATGGGCTTTCACCATGTTGGTCAGGCTGGTGTCGAACTCCTGACCTCATGATCCGCCTGCTTCGGCCTCCCAAAGTGCTGGGATTACAGGCAAGCCACCGCGCCCAGGCTTTTTTTTTTTTTTTTAAGACAGAGTTTCGCTCTTGTTGCCCTGTCTGGAGTGCAATGGCGTGATCTCAGCTCACTGCAACCTACACCTCCCCGGTTCAAGCAATTCTCCTGCCTCAGCCTCCCAAGTAGCTGGGATTACAAGCATGAGCCACCATGCCCAGCTAATTTTTCATATTTAGTAGAGACAAGATTTCACCATGTTGGTCAGGCTGGTCTCAAACCCGACCTCAGGTGATCCACCCACCTCGGCCTCCCAAAGTTCAGGGATTACAAGCATGAGCCACCGCACCTGGCCTAAAGTTTCTTTTCTTAGGTGAAAAGACCTGGCATCATCAGGGTCTAACTTTCCAGGTTTTGTAGGGTATGTTTAAGGCTGGGAAGAATCACAGTCCCCATGCTTTGATCTCCAGCTAAGCAGAGGGTGGGGAGGGATGTGTGCCCTTTACAGGAGGCCGAGAGGAAGCGACAAACGCCAAGTGCAATGGAGAGGGCTCTGCAATCCTATTTGGATCCCAAACCTCACTAACCCTTTTTTTTTTTTTTTTTTTTTGAGACACAGTTTCACTCTTGTTGCCCAGGCTGGAGTGCAATGGTGCAATCTCGGCTCATCGCCACCTCCACCTTCCAGGTTCAAGTGATTCTCCGGCCTCAGCCTCCCGAGTAGCTGTAATTACAGGTATGCGCTACCAAGCCCGGCTAATTTTGTATTTTTAGTAGCGATGGGGTTTCTCCATATTGGTCAGGCTGGTCTCAAACTCCCAATCTCAGGTGATCCGCCTGCCTCAGCCTCCCAAAGTGCTGGGATTACAGGCGTGAGCCACTGCGCCAGGCATTAACCCTCTTTAATCTGTGTTTACCTGCCCACACCTGAGCCTGACCCCACAAACAATGTGACACAGTTTTAGCCCAGTCCCAGTTTATTGTGGAGGAAAATGGGGGACATGGAGCTGAGCAGAACAGACCCTTCCCTCTCCTCTCACAGGCCCCTAGGGAGATGGGTGTCAGGACTCAGTGAAGTGAAATGGGGCCGAGGAAGCCAGAGACTGACAAGAGAGCAAGAGAGGACAGGAGGCAGAACAACACTAGGACAGGCGGGGGTTGGTGGAGACAGTGAGGCAGGGACACAAAATTGCCAAGTCAGGACATCTGCACAGAATTCTATTCCTCATCCTTTTTTTTGGAGACGGAGTCTCACTGTGTCACCCAGGCTGGAGTGCAGTGGCGCGATCTCGGCTCACTGCAACCTCTGCCTCCCGGGTTCAAGTGATTCTCCTGTCTCAGCCTCCTGAGTAGCTGGGATTACAGAGGTGTGCCACCACACCCAGCTGATTTTTCTATTTTTAATAGAGAGCGGGTTTTACCATGTTGGCCAGGCTGGTCTCAAACTCCCAATCTCAAGTGATCCGCCCACCTCGGCCTCCCAAAGTGCTGGGATTACCGGCGTGAGCCACCATGCCCGGCCTCCTCGTCCTTCTTGCTGCTAGTTCAGTCTGGTACTGGGTCTTAGAGACATGGACAAGACAGGGGAAACAGAGCTAGATGTCAATAGGCAGGTGACTGGATTGAGAGGGATGGGGGATACTGGAACACTCAGATGATGGGGAAGGAATGGAGGAACCACTGTGCCTTTCTCAGGTCAGCCTGTCTGGGCAGAATCCACACTAGAGATTCTTTTCTAGGGGGAAGAACAGCACCAGAGCTCAGCCAGGCACAGTGGCTCACACCTGTAATCCCGGCACTTTGGGAGGTCGAGGAGGGCAGATTACGAGGTCAGGAGTTCGAGACCAGCCTGACCAACATGGTGAAACCCCGTCTCTACTAAAAATACAAAAAATTAGCCAGGCGTGGTGGTGCACGCCTGTAGTCCCAGCTACTCGGGAGGCTGAGGCAGGAGAATCGCTGGAACCCGGGAGGTGGAGGTTGTAGTGAGCAGAGATCATGCCACTGCACTCCACCCTGGGTGACAGAGCGAGACTTTGTCTCAAACAAACAAAAAAACAGCACCAGAGTTCAAGAGAGAAAATTACACAAAAGTCATATAGATGCTAGTGGTACAACAGACGGAGGCCTAAGAAATCACAGTGACCAAAGAATGTGGGTGTTTTCAGAGAGGGCAGTGCAGGATGCTGAGGGTGTTACAGAAAGATATTTGCACTGTGGAATTCAGGAAGGGTGAGGTGTCAAGAGTCCAGCCTGGGGAAGAACCAAAAGTCCTGAACTATTGAGGAACAAGTACATGCGGCACAGCTCAGCAAAAGACAAGCCCAGGTTCAGGGACAGTGTGACCATGGGGTCCAGGCCATCAGGCTCCGTCCCAGCATGGAAATTGGGGAGGGGCAGGGAGAGGTTCAGGGCCTGGTAGAACCACTGAATCTGGGAGTCAGACAGAGGCAGGGCCAGGGGCCTGTCATGGGGCTCCGGCAGAGAGCTCTGGAGTTGGGGGCTTGACCAGGAGTTGCAATAATCGTACTGACAGCACTGGGCCTGATACCAGTACTCTGCAAAGTAGGTGTTGCGTTTTTCTTGGCAGCGGTAGGAAATGTACTGTCCACAGCCTCGAACGATGAAGCGAACCTTGACATCTGAGGGAGAGGGGAAAGCTGATAACCCCTTCCAATAGCTTCCCATAGTCCAAGAACCCCTGCTACTGACTTTTCCCATCCTTCACCCAGACCTAATTTACTTCTAACCCAGAGTCCTTCAAGAGGCTAGAAAAGTGAGCTCTGCTGGCCCCCTAGAACCTTAGACCCCTCCTTCCAAGATTCTTCTGGTTTTTTTTGAGACAGGGTCTAGCTCTGTTACCCAGGCTGGAGCATGGTGGCGCAATCTTGGCTCACTGCAACCTATGCCTCCTGAGTTTAAGAGATCTCCCACCTCAGCCTCCCGAGTAGCTGGGACTACAGGTGCATACCACCATGCCTGGCTATTTTTTTGTAGAGACAGGGTCTCACTATGTTGCCTAGGCTGGTCTTGAACTCTAGAGCTTAAGTGATCCACCTGCCTCAGCCTCCCAAAGTGCTAGGGTTACAGGCATGAGCCATTGCACTCAGCCCCTCCTCTCTTCTTGTACCCCATGCCCGGAGCAGCCCTGATTTGTGAGAGGAGAGAAGACCAAGCCATTGGCTGCCCCACCAGCAGCCCCTTCCTGGGACCTTATTTACCATAATAGATGGTGATCACCATGCACAGGGATGAGCTGCTGATGGTACACTTCTCTGAGCCTGAAATGCATCCTACAGAAGGGTCTTCTACGAGGCAGAAGTGGCACGTCCGGATGTCGGGAACAGGAACTGGGGAGGCAGAAGGAGGGATGGAGGCACTGGGTCACTCTCAAATACCCTGGGCCAGTAGGAAGCCCGATTATCCATGGCCACGCTCCACCCCCTTCCTGGACTCAGTTACCCCTTCCTCCCTCCCTGCCCCTGGGCCCCACTTACCCTTTCCTACTGTGAAGCCCACCATGACCAGCACACCTACAAGCATATGGACCTTCATTTTGGAATTCTGGGGAGATGGGCAGTTCCTGAGGGGATGCCCTGAAACCCCACCTTCCTGTGACCATGCTCCTTAATCCTAAGCTGCAGGGTGGTTTTGACAAGGTCTGAGCAGGAGCTGCTGTAAATGCAGAGCTATATTCCTACTTGGGGCAGGATCCTGGCTGGGAAGGAAGTTATTACTTGGCAGGAGGGACAGCATGTCCTCACCCACAACGTCTGGTTCCTGAGTGTGGGAGTAATGGCCCAGATGGGGTAATACCTGGGCACTACCGGGTTCTTTATCCAGTGTCTACCTTTGTCTTGCATACCCTCCAAAGACCTATTCCCTCCCTTGGAAAGTCCATGGGTTAGTATCTATCTCTGCCACCATGTGCTGTCTTCGTCATACAACAGGGCCAATCCCCACTGTGCTGGGACAACCTGGCCAGGAAATCAAGCATCCCCATCCTTCTGAGATGAGCAGTCTCAGCTCCACCAGCGGCAGGCACACACACATCACTGAGCAGCAATTCCGGACCTTGTCCCACCTCGTTCCACCCTTTAGTTATACTGACTTTAGGCTACTTTTCCTTTAGAACTAAAACTAAAAGATGGAGCTGCTGATTAAGCCCCTTACAGTATAAACAGACAGTCATAGATATCCAAACAAATATTTCTCATCTTTGAAATATGCTTTGTCTTTTCCTTTTGACCTTGCATTTCATCACACGCAGTCCTAGGAATTCTGTTCTGCTCCATACTAAAAACACCACCCAATCCACTGAGCACAAATCTGTCCTGGTTTTCAATCTGGGGAGGGTGGGCTGGGCCATGAGGGCCCCTGGAGTCCAACACACCATCACCTTCCCTTCCCCAACAGCAAGCACCAGCAGACTAGCTCATGGCCTTTTCTTCTACTTTATTTCATATTCCCACCACAATAACGACTCCTTTAATTTAAACTAAAAACCATACAGGGTTCCTGAAAGGGTGGCAAAAAAGAAAGGAAAAGTCAAAGACTGCAGGACAGGTGGGGGAGGGAATCAGCGAATCGTCTTGACTGGGCTCTTGAAGTTGCTGGCGGCTTGGAGCTGCAGCTGGTAGGCCATCGGATGGATCTTGAAACCGTAGAGCCTAGGCCAGGGCAGAGGTCAGAGAGGCAGCAGCATGAGCCCCATCCAGGCCCTGCCAGTCACCTGCATTCCCACCTCCCCACCTGAGCTCCTCTATGGACCTGCTCAGAGCTAAAGCCTCGTGGTTCCCAACTTCTCAGCTCAAGAACATTCTACAATAAGGTAACTCAAGCACAGATAATCAAATAACTTTCCCACAGTCACTCAGCAGGGAGATGCCCTGATTCTGGGAGAAGCAGACCTCAAGAAAGGGCCATGCCCTGTCCTCCCCTCTCTGGGGGATCTTGGGCCTTTCCTTTGACCCTTAATGACTCTCCCTGCTCCCTACCTGGGCACAAACTGGTTGGCAGGTCTCTTGGGCCGGTACTCGGGATGCACCATGAAGAGCATGTGAGGGAAACCAGTGCCGAAGTAGGCGCCATCCGTGTGATGGTGTCTTGATGACTTGGGTGTGTACACATCCATGCACTTGGGGCAGTAGAGCTTCACCATGGCTTCACCTGGGATGTCTGAAAGGCCTGGGAGACAGCCAGACTCAGCAGGCCAGGTATCCCCCTATTCCTACCTAACCTCCCCTCAGGACTCAGGCTCCAATGTGTTGAGCCCCAACTCCTTCCCATAAGACTGCCACACGGTGCTTTCCTTTCCCTTCTTCAACACTCACCAATGGGAAGCATTGGCTGGTTCTCACAGTACACACGAGGACAGTAACCAAAGTCTCCTTGCTGGTACTTTTCCAACTGAGGTGAATACAATGGAAGGGGTTGGCAGGTAGATGTAAAGAAGAGGCAACTCCCTTCGCAGCCCAACCCATACCACTCTGTCCCCCACTCCTCCCACCTCTGTCCAGAGGCCCCTTCTCTGGACTAGATGGGCTCTCAAACTTCTGTGTTGCCTTTCTTCCAATTAGGCAGGCTACAAACCATCAGAGCCATTTGTTGTTTGTTCCTTGAGGAAGAGGCAGTCTATCACAACTCTCTGATTCAAGGTCTGTCTCCCTCCCTGAAAACAATCCCTTCAGGATGACCCCCAATCAGAATTCAATTCCCAGGCCCAAGTTCTGGGGTTCTTCCCCTCTTCTCAGCTAGCTTCCTTAAACAGGGCTTAAACATGACTTCTTGCTGCAGGAACCTGTGTCTCTTACTGCTCAGAAGGAGGCAGGTAGGAGCAGAGAGGCCTCACCATCTGGGCGATGCCACGGTTGGTAAGGATGTAGCGGGCGTGGATCAATCCATAAAGCATCTCGGCTGCCTGCTCAATCAGGTCACTCTGGTTGGGGTTGTCTTCCAGTTCTTCATCTGAAACACAGCCCGGCCAAATGCAACTACTTGTTTTTCAGCTTTCCTAGGTGCCCTGCCCATATCCAGGGGCTGCGGGCTATTCAGTTTGCCTAGCACCTACTTTTGGGCCTTACCCCATCCAACATCTGGGCATGGGACCCAGAAACCTGGGCTTCTGACCCTTGCATCAAACGAAGACAGCTCTGCCTTCCCTTCACACCTTTTCAGCCTCTGCTCCTTGCTCTCCCTCCCAACTCCCTCCTCAATACATAACTGCAACAATGTCAATGCAGAAGATGAAACTCTAGACTGGAAGGTGCAAAGCAGGAGAAACAGACAACAAACCAGACCCATGAGGAAACGCATTTTGGAATAGGTCTGAATTGCGGATTTAGAAAACATGAGAACAAGTGATATACGTCACAAAACTAGACAAGAGTCAGGTGGAGGATCAAAATAAAGCATGAATTTGGGGTTAAAGAAATCAGAGAACCAAAGGAAATTTCAAAATTCAGGCAAGTGAATAGAGATTTGAAGAGAAAAATAGTGCACGCACACACACAAAACAACCCTGAGGGTGCCTCACCAGGCTCCAGGTCCAAGATCATGTCTAGAGCTTGTCGATAGTGAGGGACCTGCTCATTGAGTCCAGTAAGATTAAATTTGTCCTGGATGTAGTCTTCATCCACCTGTCAGGACATGGAAGCCAAGAGGGAACCCATATCAAAATCCTCATCTTTGACCTGGGCAAAATGCTCTAAGTGATGCCTTATCATCAACACAACTGCATCTGTTGTGCTTGTTTCTCACTCCCAACTCAGCAGAAGTACTTGTGTCTCTCCCTAGTTCACCTACACTCTCTCCCATAAAAGCTTTGGCTTTTCTTTTCTAAGGATAAGTAGATACAGCAATCTTTTTCTTAGACATTCTTTTCAAGATCTTTGTCCCTACTCCACTCCTGTATCCCGTCTCTAGGAACCAGTTTTGTCCTCTCAGCTGGCTAAGGAAGGTGGAAGCTGAACAGCATGGTTTCTGAACAAAACATTTCAATGTGTAGCATTTCAGTTTTCCTAAAGGCCACCTGAGACAAGTACTAGCAGTGCCACTTTAGTAACAAAAGATACAGGCCGGGCGCAATGGCTCACGCCTGTAATCCCAGCACTTTGGGAGGCCGAGGCAGGCAGATCACCTGAGGTCTGGAGTTCGAGACCAGCCTGGCCAACATAGTGAAACCCTGTCTCTACTAAAAATACAAAAATTAGCCAGGCATGGTGGCAGGCACTTGTAATCCCAGCTACTTGGGAGGCTGGAGCAGGAGAATCGCTTGAACCTGGGAGGCAGAGGTGGCAGTAAGCCGAGATCGCACCACTACCCTCCAGCCTCGGTGACAGAGTGAGACCCAGTCTCAAAAAAAAGAAAAAGACACAAATTGACTAGCCCAACGTTATATTGCTGGACGGTGGCAGACTCAGGACTTGGGCCCCAGTTTTGCCACTTTAGCACAGGTTCGTCGGGGTTTATAGGGGGGACTCTTTGCTGATAGGAAGTTTTCAAATAGCATGTAAGAGAACAGTGTAGAAGTGGAATATGTGAAGGAACGTCTGGTGGGAAGATATGTGAAGCTGGCAAGTAGGGAGGTTGAAGAGAACTCACTTCACAGAAGAATTCATTGCCACGGAGCCCACAGAACCAGGAAATCCAGGACACCTCCTCTGAGCTGCTCATCTTCACGTCAGCTAGAAAAAGAACAGTGTCAGTAAAGCGCAAGTTCTCCTTCCCTGCCTCTGGTATCCTCCCTCCTCCCACATTCGGCCCTCCAACCACGGGAGAATTCGGAACCACCCTTTCTTAAAGCAACCCAAACTCTGAAGCACTCCTCTCCAGCTCCTCTAATTTACATCTCAGCCCCTTTTCTTTGAAGTTAAACATTCTTTGGGGTCCCACCACTTGAAAGAAGCCAACAGATACTTTGACCCACCAGCCCGACCCACATCCCTGGAGCTCCCGAAGGCCAGGGCCCTCTCTCCTCTGTGTCAACTCCGGCAGGGACCTCGACTCAGGCTCCCTACCAATACAAGTCTCTGCATGACCCCCACGCCTTTCCCAAGGGTTTCCAAGTTTATCATTCTCAAGCAAGAACCGGGCTCCTCCTTTTCTCACGGGTTGGGGGCGATTGTCAGGTCCCTTTCACCGGAATCCACACATCCCCCCTCCGCTCCTCAGGCCACCTCTCCCTCCTTCGTGCCGGACCTGGTCGCTTCCTCCCCCGCCCCCACATCAAAGTCCGGAGACCCCATGTGCCGCTCCCAGCGACAAGGGACTCGGAGCAGCGACGACTTCAGACTCACCGGCTGGACGGGGACCAGGACTGGGGTGGGGTAGGGAAGTTGCTACTTCCAGGGAACGGCGGCGACCGCTACAGCGCAGGCCGCGGACCCGACCGCGGCAGGCGAAGTGGGGTGGGGGGAGTGGAAATTAGGGAGGGTGGGGAAGAGGGCAACACGCAAGCGCCAAGGGTCAGGTGCCGCGGTGGATGCCGGGACACGGAGTCCCCGGTAGAGAAAGAAACTGGCTAAATGAGAGAAAGCGAACTACCAATCCCAGGATGACCCGCGCACGACCTGGCTGTCACGAAGGCCCGGAGGAGGGCGCTTGCGGGCGGGGCACAACGAGAAGCCACCGGAAGCGGAAGCCAGGTATGGCGTTCGGGGCCCGGGAGTCTGGGCAATACAGTTTTGTGCTCACTGGGTGAAGAGGCTGACTTAGGGCGGGGAAAGGAGGGAGCCAGGCTGGATCTCTTTCCGCAGCTCTCCTCACGTTCCCCTCTAGTCCCGGCGAGGCGCTGCTGCCCAGGGGACTGGCCTATCCTCGGCCAATCCGCTGGGTCCTTATTGCCTGTTGGGCCCCTAGTGCGAATCAGTCCCGCCAGAGACCCTTGACGGGCATACTGTTTCCTCCGGGCTCCTGCCTCATGAGGGGAGAGGTGCGGCTTGGCTCCGTGCGTAGGGACTTGGGTGGGGTGGGGTGGGCGGTGTGAGAACTGGAACGTCCCAGTGCGCTAACCTGAGGTGGTGCCAGCCATTCTGCTCGTCCCTTTGCACTTCTCCATTTCCCCTTAGGCTCTAAGTGTGACCTTCGAACCCTGGTCAGAGTAATGGTGAGGGGCAGGCGTGACGTTATTTCATTACACGGCTTCTCGGCATTCCACAGGTTTCCCTCCGCCTCCTGAGGGCCTTTCCTAACCCACAGAGTGGATTCCTGGCTCCAGAAAATGGGCTTGGAGCGGGGGCCACGTTGAGGAAGGCGAAGGGCATTGTGGGGGCGTTATGTAAAAGTAGGACCCCAACCGACAGATCCTAGTGCTCGCGCCACCTGGGCGCGCGGAGCTTTGCTCGTTTACTATTGAAAAAGTTCCAGCGCGGGAAACTGAACCCGGAGCTTTGCGCACGCCCGAGCCCTCAAGTAATGTGGGTTGTGGTTTTTGTTGTTGTTGTCGCCACGCATGCGTCTTCGTGCCGTGTGGCTATTTGATTGTGTCAACTCTTCTGATTAGAATGGCGCCATTTTGCGGTACGGAAGCTACACAGCAACACGTATAGGAGACTCTCCCCGAGATCTTCTAGGGAGTGACCCATCTATTTTTGTTTGGGAAGAGGAAACTCCGAAATGGGATCGCGGAAGACTTAAAGGGCCAGGCTGATTTTTTTTTCCTACTGGTATGTCTTACGGGGTGGGAAAGTGGTTTCAGAAAGAGGCTGGTGTTTATTGTTGGTGAGGATGGGGGTGGGGGCCGGACGCAGGACCTCTGGACAACAGTCTCATGGAGTTTTATTAATCTTTACTAAGGAGCAAAGTCGGTATTGTAGGGTTCCATGTTTTTACGCAAAGTCTCTCTCCCTTAGGCCCTGCAGAGTCCTAAGTTGTGGGGTTACTTTAGTGGCAGGAAAGTGTTTTTGACTACTTTTTCTCATCCCAGCAGGTCTCTGAGGCTGTGGTTGCTACAGGGTCACCACGAGCTTGGCTTACTTGTCTCATCCTTCCCTTGCCTGGTATCATTTTCTCAGTTCTCCCAAAAGCCATGTCCCGGCCCTTGCTCATCACCTTCACCCCAGCCACTGACCCCAGCGACCTCTGGAAGGATGGGCAGCAGCAGCCACAGCCCGAGAAGCCAGAGTCCACCCTGGATGGGGCTGCAGCCCTAGCTTTCTATGAGGCCCTGATTGGGGATGAGAGCAGCGCTCCTGACTCCCAGAGATCTCAGACTGAACCTGCCAGAGAAAGAAAGAGAAAGAAAAGAAGAATAATGAAGGCACCAGCAGCAGAAGCAGTGGCAGAAGGAGCATCAGGAAGACATGGACAAGGGAGATCCCTTGAGGCTGAGGATAAGATGACTCACCGGATACTGAGGGCAGCCCAGGAGGGGGACCTGCCAGAACTTAGGAGACTGCTGGAACCGCATGAGGCAGGAGGAGCTGGGGGGAATATCAACGCCCGGGATGCCTTCTGGTGGACCCCACTGATGTGTGCTGCTCGAGCGGGCCAGGGGGCAGCTGTGAGCTATCTCCTGGGCCGTGGGGCTGCCTGGGTGGGGGTCTGTGAGCTGAGTGGCAGGGATGCGGCTCAGCTCGCTGAAGAAGCTGGCTTCCCTGAGGTAGCCCGCATGGTCAGGGAGAGCCATGGAGAGACAAGGAGCCCGGAAAACCGGTAAGGGGAAACTTTAGCTCAGACCCATGTCTCATTGTGTTCTGCCTCTCCCAGCCACACCACACCAGACGCCCCAGCACAGTGCTGAAGAGTTCTTTCCTTATCCTCATGTGTAGGTTGACAGGGTAGTATAGTCAAGTGGTTATAAACATGAGCTCCCTGGATTTAAAGCCTGATTCCACTTACTTGGGCAAACAACCTAATGTCTACATGTTCCAGTTTTCTCATCTTAGAAATGGGGGTAGTAAGAATTGTTGTTAGGATTCAATGGGTTAATATATGTAAAATGCTAGAATAGTGCATGCCGCATAGTATGCAATACATGAATGTTAGCTATAGTCATTATGACTAATGTCCCTCCCCTTGCCCAAGAGTTTGCTAGGTCTGGTTACCATTTTTTTCTTTCAACTATTCTGCTCTGGATCCCACAATGGTTTAAAGAAATTTGTTTTTAAGACAAGTCAAGTGCAGTAGTGAGAAGGAGGGGAAAAGTGGAGTAAGGAGTTTGATCTGTAACTGAGTGAACAATTAATTCAGATAACTCACCACCACCTTTGGACCAGCCTGGATCCCTCACTGTTAAGTAGGAAGGAAGGCAATTTGTCCCTTTTTTTTTTTTTTTTTTTTTTGAGACAAAGTCTCACTCATCTCACTCTGTCGCTCAGGCTGGTGTGCAATGGTGTGATTTCAGCTCACTGCAACCTCCGCTTCCTGGGCTCAAGCATATTTTTTGTAGAAAGCAGGCTTTGCCGGGACATGGTGGCATGTGCCTGTAATCCCGGCTACTTGGGAGGCTGAGGCAGGAGAATCGCTAAGGTGGAAGTTGCAGTGAGCCAGGATCATGGCACTGCACTCCAACCTGGGCAGCAGAGCAAGACTCCATCTCAAAAAAAAAAAAAAAAAAAAGCAGGCGTTGCCATTTTGCCCAGGCTGGTCTCAAACTCCTGAGCTCAAAGCCATCTGCCCGCCTCTGCCTCCCAAAGTGTTGGGATTACAGGCGTGAGCCACTATGCCTAGCTGGCAATTTGTTCCTTAGCAGAAAAGCTGAAAAGATCCTATTCTACCCTGCCAGCCCCCTCTGAGGCCTCAACTCTTCCCCTTTTCCTTCCCCTGCCCTTAATGCTTTTTCTTCTTTCTCTGCAGGTCTCCTACTCCCTCCCTCCAGTACTGCGAGAACTGTGACACCCACTTCCAAGATTCCAACCACCGCACATCCACTGCTCACCTGCTGTCACTGTCGCAGGGTCCTCAGCCTCCCAACCTTCCACTTGGGGTGCCCATCTCCAGCCCGGGCTTCAAACTGCTGCTGAGGGGGGGCTGGGAGCCAGGAATGGGGCTGGGACCCCGGGGTGAGGGCCGTGCCAATCCCATCCCCACTGTCCTCAAGAGAGACCAGGAAGGACTAGGCTACAGATCAGCACCCCAGCCCCGAGTGACACATTTCCCAGCTTGGGATACCCGAGCTGTGGCTGGGAGGGAGAGACCCCCTCGGGTGGCCACACTGAGCTGGAGGGAGGAGAGAAGGAGGGAGGAGAAAGACAGGGCTTGGGAGCGGGATCTAAGGACTTACATGAACCTCGAGTTCTGACTTTGGTAAAGTCTGACCCTAGTCTGCTGCTGAAGTCTGAACTTGGGCCTCTGACCTGGGCCCTTTGACTTCCCCTTCCTGGGATCTGCCCAGATGCAGATCCTGAAGTTTTTGGTCAATAGGCTCTGTCTTCGTGAGAGACGGGCTGAGAGTCAGAAATAAATCAACCATTTGTGGTTTATTCACTTTTCTGGAAGCTATTTTGAGGAAGCCAAACAGAAGCCTGGGAGCCACATGCAAGTCCCACCTGAGTCAGAAGGGGCAGCCTCTCCAGGTGGCATGATAAGGTCACCTCCCTGCCAATCTGGGTTCACTTTCAGGTCCCAGACCCTCCTGGGAGTCCCCCACCTATTCTTTCAACCCCCCTGGACCAAGAATTGCCCAGCTTCGTGCAAGTCTCACTTCCCCCAGGAGGAGTTCCCTGACTACAGCCAATTCACTGATTCACAAACATAAGTCCATATACTATGTGCCAAGAATACAGGTAAAGACATTCCCAACCCTCAAAGAGTTCACAGCTGGAGAGGGAAAGTGCCATGTTATCAATTTTTTTCTTTTTTTTTTTGAGATGCAGTTTCGCTCTCATTGCCCAGGCTGGAGTGCAATGGCATGATCTCGGCTCACCACAACCTCTGCCCCCCGAGTTCAAGGGATTCTCCTGCCTCAGCCTCCCCAGTAGCTGGGATTACAGGCATGCCCCACCACGCCCAGCTAATTTTGTATTTTTAGTAGAGACGGGGTTTCTCCATGTTGGCCAAGCTGGTCTTGAACTCCCGACCTCAGGTGATCCGCCGGCCTCGGCTTCCCAAAGTGCTGGGGTTGCAGGCATGAGCCACCACTCCCGGCCCATGTTATCAAATATTATAATGCAGGGTGATAAGGGAAGTCAAGGCCTCTAGAGATGAGAATGGGTAGGGTTTTGCTGGAAGAGGCCAGTGTGATAGGAGGGCCCACGATTATCAAGCTTGTACACTTAGTTGAACTGGGACCAGAACTCTAGCCCCCAAATCTAAACTTTAAGTCAAACTTCTTTGTTCCACCCATTTGTCTACACTTTTCTTTCCCACACTTCCCCACTCTCCCACCACCCACCCCCTTGTCTTGCTCATGCCGGGTGGTAGGCACAAGAAGAGCTCACTGTTGTGAAATCCAGGAATTCAAATTTGCAGACGGGCAGGGGAGGGCTGTTCAAGTCGCAAGACTCCTCATTTTTTCTTTTCTGGGAAAGCCTTTCATGAAGTCTTGGATGCGAAATGGAGGAGTGGTGGGGGATGTGGAAAAGAACCCAGGGGCAGGGGGCTGTAGGGGGCGACCGAGTTTAGGGAAGCATGAGAAACCCGGGAAAATGGGGAGCTGGGTTTATATTAAGGTCCTGGTCCTTGCTAATCTCGGTTTGGCGGTCCGGCGCGCACAGACAGCGCGGGGTATACGGGGGCGGTCTATTCGCAGGGTCCGCCCCATGAGCTGCGGCACCGCCCCCGCGGGTCCTTCCAGTCCTGGTGCAGCTGCTTCCGGGCTTCGCGGCTCCCGGCGGCTCCCCAAGGCCGCGGCCCCGACGCTGGGCCCGGGAGCGGTCCCCGCGCACAGCGCCCGGACGCGTAGGTCCCGAAGTAGGCCCGCGCTTTGCTTCGTAACTGGGGATCTCTGAGGACATCTTAGTTCTGACCTTGTGGAGGCCGCGTCTCTGCTGCGTGTTCGCGGGCCAGTCGGGCCACTTTGTAGAAATCATAGCCCTCTAAATCAAGGGACGAACGCTGCTGGCTGGAGTTTGCTGGACACTTTCATTCCACCTCCTAACAAAGAGAATTCCTATTCCTTGAGGTCCCTTGGGGCAGCAGTTAAAGACTACACGATCCAGGAGCACCTAGGACCTGGGGCCACCTTCCTGCCCGCTTTATTGGATGGAGCACTGCCTCCCCAGTTTCTGGGACACCTTGGGGTGTGGCCTTGGTGAGTGAAACTTGGGGTGCTGCCTGCTGGGAAGGAAATCCGGAAACGCAGAGAGGACTCTCTGGTGGTGACCCAGGCCTTGTCAGATCTGAGATTCTTGGAATCTCAGATTGTGGGGGTGTGGATGGTGAATGAATTTGGGTATGCCCCCCTTTACCCCAGAACTGAAGAGGAAGCAAACTACTTGCCACACTTGAGGCTGCATGACTATTCAGAGAAGGGAGGAGCCACTTCTGAATTCAGAGTAGGACTGCATCACCAGGCAAATACCTGTTCTGAGCCAGAAAGACTCTGGCTTCTGAGGAGATCCTGAGAGTCTGAGTAGTGCCAGGAAGCAGCCTCAGAATTTGGGGGCCCATTACACACCCCAGCCATGTTCCTGCGACGGCTTGGTGGCTGGCTACCTCGCCCTTGGGGCCGCCGGAAACCAATGAGGCCTGACCCGCCTTACCCAGAACCCAGACGGGTGGACAGCTCCTCGGAGAATTCAGGAAGTGACTGGGATAGTGCCCCAGAAACCATGGAAGATGTGGGGCATCCCAAGACTAAGGACTCGGGGGCATTGAGGGTTTCTAGGGCTGCTTCCGAACCAAGCAAGGAGGAGCCCCAAGTTGAGCAGCTAGGGAGCAAAAGAATGGATTCCCTCAAGTGGGACCAGCCTATCTCTAGCACTCAAGAGTCTGGGAGACTGGAGGCTGGAGGGGCCAGTCCCAAACTCAGATGGGATCATGTGGATTCAGGTGGCACCAGGAGACCAGGGGTGTCCCCTGAAGGGGGACTGAGCGTCCCTGGGCCAGGAGCCCCATTGGAGAAACCTGGTAGGCGTGAGAAGCTGTTGGGCTGGCTGCGGGGGGAACCAGGAGCTCCCTCCCGGTACTTGGGGGGCCCAGAAGAGTGTCTGCAGATCTCCACCAACCTGACCCTGCATCTTCTGGAGCTGCTGGCCTCTGCCCTGCTGGCCCTGTGCTCACGACCACTGCGGGCAGCCTTGGACACACTGGGCCTGCGTGGACCGCTGGGCCTCTGGCTACATGGCCTACTGTCCTTCCTGGCTGCCCTGCATGGGCTCCATGCTGTTCTGAGCCTACTTACTGCCCACCCTTTGCACTTCGCCTGCCTCTTTGGTCTCCTGCAGGCCTTGGTGCTGGCTGTCAGCCTCCGGGAGCCCAATGGGGATGAGGCGGCCACTGACTGGGAGAGTGAGGGGTTGGAGAGGGAAGGTGAGGAGCAGAGGGGAGACCCGGGAAAGGGGCTGTGACCGTGGGGTGGGGGCAAAGGGTGAAGAGAGTGTGGGCTTTAGGAGAAAAGTGTGAGGCATGACCCAAATTGTAAGCATAGGGACCTCAGGGATGGGGAAGAAACCCGAGTACGAGGGTGCAGGGCCCCCCTTCATACACAGGAGAGAACAGAACTATTTAGGGTGTTTGTGTTTATGGACAGTGAGGGCACTGCTCTTGGATTCACCAGCTGTTATTTTTGCTTTTACTTTTCTCCCACCTTCAGTTTTTTTTTTTTTTCCACCTCCACTTTTTAAAAGCAAAAAAAAAAAAAAGTATGATGGTGGTGAATAAAGACCAAAGGGTCCTCTCTACCTTTGAAAACTCTCCTGGGGTGGAGGAGACCAGGGCAGGATAGACAGACCTCTGCAGTAAGAGAGTGGTTGGGAAACCCAGGGTGTTCCTTGGATCTCAGGATCTGAGCCATCGAGGGAAGAGTGGGGCTGCTAGGCAAGTGGATTAGGGGGTCTGGATAGGGCCCCACAGGTGACAGGGAGCCTGCAGGGCGGATCTGGTGATCATGGGAGCCAGAGGGAGTGGGGACAGTGCAGGCAGTATTGGCAGGAGGGCCAGTGCAGAAGGGCTGGTAGCTCAGGCAGTGTGGGGGAAGCACTGAAGCCTGTAGTCCCCACTTGGGGGCTAGGGGTTTGCTCACTCAGCAATAAATAACTGTGTCACATCAAATCCTAAATATACCACTACAAAGTGAGAGTTACTGCCACTCTGTTCTTACTGACACCGTCCAGCTGGGAGTTTAGGTGGTAGAGGATCCAGGGGGAATGTTGAAATGGGAGGAGTGGGAATGACGTCTGGAGACAAACCCCAGAATGAGATGAGGATTGAAAAATTATCTTTATTATCTTGAGTGGGAGCTGGAGCTGGAAGTCTCCAGCTTCTCCCTCCAACAACTCAGCTCCCATTGTACCCATCTGGGGACTTAGATGAAGTTACAGGTCAGTTATTGGACAGCTCACAGGCCTCTGTGATGGGGGGAGGGAAAAAGAAGGACAGAAGGGAAGTCCAGGGAGAAAAGCAAAGTTGATAGTAATGGGGTGGGGGAGAACGTGTTCTTTCATTCCCTGTGTCAAAGGGGAGTCTCTAAGGCTCTTTTCCCTCCACGTATGACCCTCTGCCCCCTTTATCCAGTGCAAACTCAGAAACCTCTCTTTTGAGTAGCCCAGAACCCATCCTGCCTCCCTCAGGTGACATCACAGCTCTTAGCCACATCCCTCTGGTGACATCACACGAGCCTCTTTCACCCTGTAACACCAGAAGACTTGGTGAGTCCTAATCCTGTTTTATGAGATTTTAACCCCTTACCTTGATTCCTAGGAGTCAATAAGAAGGCTTTGGAGTCCAGGCAGGAAGTCAGGGACTTGAATTCCTCCACACACTTTTCGGGAGGATGTGGTGAGCGATCTGGAAGGGCAAGGTGGGGTCAGGCCAGTCAAAACCCCTGGAAGCACCTAGCTCTTCCTGGGAGGGTGTCATAGGACCCAGAGTGAGGAGTTCTCCTGCCCTCCCTTGTTTCCCTCCAACCCTTCCTGCCTTGTATCCCTACTCACTGTAGAGGAGAAAGCGCTGGTAACCCTGGCCTGTCTCATTCAGCATGATTCCACCTGGGCATGAGCTGGAAAAGAGCTCAGTCTTCATGTCAGGGCGGCCTGTCAAGGCAGGTGGGAGAAGTATGAGAACAGAGATGCAGAACCAAACTCAAGGGAGGGTGAGGGCTGGGAAGAACCAACCTTCAGTTCTGAGATCTGTGCTCCCTTCAGTCAGGTGGTAGATCCATTTCCGGGGCACACAGAGCCCATCTTTCCTGCAGAGGTGGTGGTGGCAAGGAGGAAAGAATGAGCATCACCCCAACCATAGTGTCCCAGCTTCTTTTTTTTTTTTTTGAGACAGAGTCTCACTCTGTTGCCCAGGCTGGAGTGCAGTGGCGCCATCTCGGCTCACTGCAAGCTCTGCCTCCCGGGTTCACGCCATTCTCCTGCCTCAACCTCGTGAGTAGCTGGGACTACAGGTGCCCACCACCATGCCCAGCTAGTTTTTTATATTTTTAGTAGAGACGGGGTTTCACTGTGTTAGCCAGGATGGTCTCGATCTCCTGACCTCGTGATCTGTCCGCCTCAGCCTCCCAAAGTGCTGGGATTACAGGCGTGAGCCACCACGTCTGGCCTGTCCCGGCTTCTATTTACTCCATTGTATTTGTTATTGAAGCCCAGCTCTCCTTGGGTTTCAAGCTACCAAGCATTGGTTAGGCACATCTTTCTCCAGAGGGCAATTAATACAGCCACTGAATTCCGTGGGCCAAGCATAGTAGATATACCAGCTAAGAGGCCAGCTCTTGGTGGGTGGATTCTCACACTTTGGGCAGAGACTGAACCCAGTGATGCTTCTGCCTCCTTACCACTCACATGCGGATGGTAGCACGAAGGTGGAGCTGCATCGGGGCAGAGCCAGCAGCCATATTGAAGACAATGTTGTCCACAGGGTCAAAAGTTGCCAACTCCTCCTTGGTGGGAGCTGCCCCTGCGATAAAGTACCACTGGCCCAAGTGGACCTCTGGGAACTGGAGAGACAATGAAGGGAGCAAAAGAGGGTGGGTTCCAGCACAGGATGGGTTCAACCTCTTCATCAGTCAAAACAGCAAGATTTAGGGGTAGAGGTGTTGGCTGCCTTCCTCTTTCCAACTGGGGATTGGATCCATGACAAAGAGTCATTAAATGACTTTTCCTCTTTGCCCCTCCCCAGTCAACCTGGGTAACCACCCCACCCCCCAATTCTGCCATGCCTCTGCATTGATGGCCACAGTACTGATATTTTTCTTCTTGCTTTCATTATCACAACACTCACACCCCCTTCCTCTCTTCCTTTCCCAAGATGGTCTCCAGTCATCCTAGGCCATCCACCCAAGTCCCTCAGAGCCTCCACCATAGGCTTCCCCCAATCTCAGTCCATACCTCCTTCCCATCCACGCCCAGAGTTGTCAGTTGACTGTGCTCAGGGCACTGGTAGATGGAGTTAAGGATAATACCATAGAAGTAGAGCAGAGCTGCCCAAATTTGGTGGAACATCTTCAGGCAGGAGGGAGCTGGTGCTCTGTGTGCCTTAACTGCTCTCTCCCCTACTGGCTGCTCAGTCCACTCTGCTTTCAGCTCCCTTGCGTTCGACCCTTGACCCTTTCACCTGCTAATGAGTAACTTCAACCTTGTTTTCCAACCCAAACCTGGATTACTTAGTGTTTGGGACTTCCTCCCCCTCTTCCGGATGCAACCACTCCATAGTACACCCTGGCATGTCCAGGGTTTCTCAGGAGTTATGAGGAGAGCTGAGCTGTCCAGGGAGAAGCCTGTGGTCTTTGAACCTGTATCTGAGCTGGTTATTTGTTGCACTGTGCAGCACTGAAGGGAAGTAGCTTGACTGGGCCTCTCATTCATTCACTTAGCAAACTGTTTTGAATCCCAAGTCCCAGTTGTTTCCCAAGAACTAGCTAATCCCCGGGGACATAAAAAAACGAATAAGACATAGCCCCTGATCTTGAAGAAGTCGTTAGAGGGAAAACTAGCTGTGTAGACAAACCATTGCAATACAACTTGGTAAATGCTTTAGAACAGGTATGATGCAGGTGCTGGGGCACGGTGGATTGCTCTCTTTAGTTTACAATTAGAAAAATATGTATACCCTGGCAGTGTTCACTGACACATTCACTCAACATTTATTACTACAAAGAGGCTATGTAATCTGGCTGTTAGAGAGGATAGATGTTGGTGTCAGGCAGAATGTGTCCAAACCCTAACTACAGGCAGGGCAGGTAGCTCATGCCTGTAATCTCAGCACTTTGAGAGGCCAAGGTGGGCGGATGGCTTGAGCCCAGGAGTTCAAAACCAGCCTGGGCTACATGGCAAAACTCTGTCTCTACAAAAAATACAAAAATTAGCCGATGTGGTGGCACACGCCTGTAGTCCCAGCTACTAGGGAGGCTGAGGAGGGAGGATTGCTTGAGCCTGGGATGTCGAGGCTGCAATGAGCCCTGATTGTGCCACTGCACTCCAGCTTGGGCGACAGAGACTCTGTCTCCAAACAAACAAAACACCACCAACCCCTAACTGCTATGTCTGTTTTTTCATCTGTAAAATTGGCAAATCATCAATCTTATAGGATTAAATGAAATAATGCACATAAAGCCCTTAGCAAAGACTTGCACATGGTAAGTCCAAAGTATATATTTGCTATAATTAATAGTAATGTTTGCAAAGCACTTAGTTTCTGGTGGGTAATAAGTTCTCAAATAATAGGCAGTAAGAATTGCCAAATAGGTTGTCCTTGGATAGCACCAAGTGACTGGAGCAGTTAATGCTGTGAGAGATGGATCTTCCTCGATAGATTATTTATTTACTTATTTATTTTTAAGACAGGGTCTCACTCTGTCGCCCAGGCATGACTTTGACTTCCCCGGCTCAGATGATTCCCGAGTAGGAGGTATAGGTGCACGCCATCACGCCTAGCTAATTTTTTGTAGACACGGAGTTTCACCATGTTGCCCCAGGCTGGTATTAAACTCCTGAGCTCAAGCAGTCGGCCCACCTTAGCCTCCTAAAGTGTTGGGATTACAGGCATGAGCCACCACACCTAGCTTGATAAATTTATATCCCATGGACTGCCACAAAAAATTTGCCGAGGGCTGAGGCTTGCGATTTAGTTAAAAAACAAACAAAATTTGGGTGACCAGTATATTAGAGTTTATTAATACTGTTCTATTTTGGTGTAATGTTTGAATTTTTTTTTTTTTTTTTTTGAGATGGGAGTCTCGTTCTGTTGCCCAAGCTGGAGTGCAGTGGCGCGATCTTGGCTCACTGCAATCTCCACCTCCCGGGTTCAAAGCAATTCTCTGCCTCAGCCTCCCAAGTAGCTGGGATTACAGGCGCCCGCCACCACGCCAGGCTAATTTTTGTATTTTTAGTAGAGATGGGGTTTCACCATTTTGGCCAGGCTGGTCTTGAACTCCTGACCTCGTGATCCACCCGCCTCATCCTCCCAAGTGTGAGTCACTGCGCCCGGCCGAAAATTTTTGTAATAAAAAGCTAAAATGTGGTTAGGCACAGTAGCTCACACCTATAATCCCAGCACTTTGGGAGGCCAAGTCTGCAAGACCAGGCTGGGCAACATAGCAAGACCCCATCTCTATAAAAATAAAATTAGCCAGGTGTGGTGGTGTGCATCTGTGGTCCCTACTAGGGAGGCTGAGGTGGGAAGATCGGTTGGGCTCGGGAGGCAGAGGCTACAGTGAGTTGTGATTGCGCCACTGCACTCCAGCCTGGGCGACAAAGCGAGACCCTCTCTCAAAAAAATAAGCTAAAATGTTAACAGCTTTTTATTGGGGCAGTAAAGTACAAGTGCTCGATCTGGAGTCCTGTAGGCCTGGATTTGTCAATTCTGACACTTATGTTCGTCTAAGTGTACTCACTTAAAAAATGTTAAAAGCTCGTTAAAAGGCTTTTTAAAATAATACACAAAACCCGTAGTATATGGGCTGGCACAAGTGCTCATTAAACAGCTGCTTATTAGAACTCTTAACTAAAATATAACCAGGACCTGGGTATAAACTACGAATCCCAGAAAGGTTGGACACCCCAACAGCGATGTGTCTTTCTGGAGGACTCGCAGTTTCGCGGGGCCGAGGCCCTTGGCCCAGGGCAGGTTAAGAGAAGAGGGCACGGAGAGGCGGTAATGCCTCCACCCCCGGCCTTCGGAAGCACGCTGGCCGGCCTTTAAATTCCCCACGGTCAGGGTCTTGTCTTTCTGTCCACTCGGACTCCATTTGCTCCCAATTCTCAAACTCGGAAGCGCCTCTTTTCTTGACAAGTCGTGCAACTTAGTAGCACGTTTACTTTTCCTAAAACGTGTCATGTCCCCTTGGCCACACACCGACGAATGTGACGCCCACAGCCCTTAAAACGCCCACCCGGCAGAACCGAAATCTAGCCCAACCAAGCAACCGAGAACAAAATTGACCAGTGCCGCCCCCAAACGCCTACTGAAAGAGTAACTTCCGGAGGCACAGAAGAAAGGGCGCAGCGAGGGCAATAGGGTGGAGAAGAGTTTTAGCTGGCTAGGACAGTGCCGCCTGAAATTATCAGCCTGCCAAGATTTAAACATAGATGAATGTGGCATAATCCCCCATCTCCAAAGTCCAAGGTCCATACGACCGTCCATAGCCCCTCTCGAGGCAGTGGTAGAGTCCCAGCTGGTGACTGTTTTTCAGGCATTTACGGTAGCCACCTCAATCTTCTAGCGCTCAAGCGCGCGCACAGACGTGAACGCCGCCAGAGGGGGAGGGGGTGGGGCGATGCTTAAGTGTCCACGCATCCGTAGTGCGACGCACGCAGGCGTAGTACGGTCCCCCGGGCGACAGCGGTGGCGGCTCCTCGGGGTGCTCGGCTCCCTCCCACCTAGGCCGGCCCCGGCCCGACTCGCCCTCAGAAACTCACTGTTTGGGGCTGCGGACTTTCTCGTCGTGCCCCACAAAAGTAAAGCTTGGGGACCTGGGGGGAGCCGGAAGTATCGCTTCGAGATCCCCAAATACTATCGGGGAAACGGAAGTGGCCGTCGGTGGCAGGTTTGGGGGAGACCGGAAGTGACGGTCCGTGGGGAAGTCGGGGGCGGAGCCGCGGGGTGGTGGGTGGGTGGGTGTGTGTGTGTGTGTGTGTGTGTGTGTGTGTGTGTGTGTTTGGCTGTGGGTTAGTTGTGCCGTTCTGCTGGAACACCGTGGGAAGGCAGTAGACGCGGGCAGTCAGCTAGCAGGTCCGTCGCCCCGTGAGTGCCGTTTCGGGTCTATAGTGAGTTAGGAGGGTTCGATGGGCGTGGCGCGCGTGCGCGAAACCACTTTCTCCGCAGAGTGTGGGGCGACCACCGCTTTCGCGTTGTCCCAGGATTTTCCGACCTCTGGGGCGCTTGTCCTGCCGTGACCGGTGATGACACTAGTCTCTGGTCTCGTGCTTCCTTCCTAATCTGACTGGCTCCCTGCTTATTGTGATTGGCGTCGTGGAGCCCCTCCCACCTCTCGTCCTCCAGCTCCCTAAGCCGTCGATCTCCTGCCCTTTGTGTTTCTCTCCCTGTGCCCCGGAATCAGAAGGGGGATGGGGACAGGTGTGAATGTGTGTGTGTGCAGGAGAAACTTTTTAGGTATTGGGGCAGGGATTAATGCTAGGGAGTCTTTCGGGTACACTCTGGTCTGGGCAACAGCGGGCCCTCCTTCCTTCGTTCTTCTTTAGAGACCTGTCGGCCATGGAGCCTAATGATAGTACCAGTACCGCTGTGGAGGAGCCTGACAGCTTGGAGGTGTTGGTGAAGACCTTGGACTCTCAAACTCGTACCTTTATTGTGGGGGCCCAGGTGAGACACCTCACTAGTTCTGGAAGACACCTTTAGCTTTTCCTCGTTTAGGCCCCTTAGCCTGAGAGATGAGCTTGATTTTCTGGTCACCAGATTTTCTTTTTTTTGAGATGGAGTCACGCCCTGTCTTCCAGGCTGGAGTGCAGTGGCGCGATCTCGACTCACTGAAACTTCCACCTCTTGGGTTCAAGCGATTTTCCTATCTCAGCCTCCTGAGTAGCTGGGATTATAGGCGTGTGCCACTATACCCAGCTGATTTTTGTATTTTTAGTAGAGACGGGGTTTCACCATGTTGGTCAGGCTGGTCTCGAACTCCTTACCTCAGGTGATGTGCCCTCCTCGGCCTCCCAAAGTGCTGGTATTACAGGCATGAGCCACCGCACCTGGCCTCAGATTTTCTTTTTATTGATCCCTTTGTTCGTATTCCAGTAGAACGTTTTCTGATGTTTTGTGAGTGAGGCTGATTTTGTTCTGTCCTCCACATGGATAGAACTTAATGCAGAGGGAAATACAGAGGAAGGAAGAATCTGTGTGTCATCATCATGGGTGGACCCCAACCCAAAGGGACAGGCATGGCTCTGGCCTTTGGGAAGGGAAACAGCACAGGAACCCTAAGCAAGTGTGTCTTACTGATAGACATTGGTCAGGTCTATGCTGTGTTTTTAAAGGGTAGAAATCAGAACCCATAATGGAGATAGGTCCTTGATAGACTGTTGAGTGAAATTACTAATTTTTATGGCATAGCTTGAGTCTCTTGAGCTTAAAGCCTTGGACATAGCTATCTGTGTCTTTACTCCTGTAATACTTGGAGACAAATTGCATGTGGGGTGGTCCATGGTTTTCTAAAATGTGATATTACCTGGATATAAGAAAGCCATATATAGACTTGTGATTAGATGTATATAAATACTCTGGTACTTCCCAAGAGTCAGTTTGTAGTTAGGAAAAATATTTCTCTTTTTGCTTTTTTTTTTTTTTTTGAGATGGAGTTTTGCTCTTGTTGCCCAGGATGGAGGGCTGGGGCGCAATCTCAGCTCACTGCAACCTCTGCCTCCTGGGTTCAAGCAATTTTCCTGCCTCAGCCTCCTGAGTATCTGGGATTACAGACGACGCCTACTACCACGCCCGGCTAATTTTTGTATTTTTAGTAGAGACAGGGTTTTACCGTGTTGGCCAGGCTGGTCTTGAACTCCTGACCTCAGGTGATCCACCTGCCTCGGCCTCCCAAAGTGCTGGGATTACAGGTGTGAGCCACTGTGCTGGGACCTTTTTTGCTTTCTTATCTTCTTAGTCTTTCTTCAGTAACCTGATACCAGACCCCATCTTCTTTGCCATTTTTTAATCTTGGAAATCACAGGAGAGTCTGGTAAATAAACTGGTATCATCTTGTGTTTGGAAAGGGGTCACTGATGTCTCTAGACACATACTCCCTTGGATGCCAGACAGATAATATAATGTCCATGTGGTTTTTTTTTGTTTTTCATCCGTGTTATTTTTCCTGGATCTATAACCTGAGCTTCATTAAGTTTATTTATTTAATTTTTTGAGATGGAGTCCCTCTCTGTCACCCAGGCTAGAGTGTAGTGATGCGATCTCGGCTCACTGCAACCTCCGCCTCCCGAATTCAAGTGATTCTCTTGCTTCAGCCTCCCTAGTAGCTGGGATTACAGGCGACCACCATGCCTGGCTTATTTTTTTGTATTTTTGGTAAAAAAGGGGTTTTACCATGTTGGCCAGGCTGGTCTCGAACTCCTGACCTAATGTGATCTGCCTGCCTTGGCCTCCCAAAGTGCTGGGATTACAGGTGTGAGCCACCGCGCCAAGCCAAATTTATTGTCTGTATTTTGACAGCTGTTACTTTAGTTTAAGGGTTTGCACAGTAATGATCTCACGGTCAAGACAAACGGGTAGTGATTCTGTGGTGGTTTTTACCCCTCACCTCCACAACTCGGTTGTCTGTCTTTGTTCTTCCTCTTTCCTCCATTCTTTCCATTCCTGTGCATGCCTCTTCTTTTCAGATGAATGTAAAAGAGTTTAAGGAGCACATTGCTGCCTCTGTCAGCATCCCATCTGAAAAACAACGGCTCATTTACCAGGGACGAGTTCTGCAAGATGATAAGAAGCTTCAGGAATACAGTAAGGGGGCTGGGGAGGCAGTTCAGAGGTTGGGGCTACTGTCTGGAGGGATGAACTGAGGCCATGGGTTTACCTGTTCATACTATGTTTTGGTGTGTGTCTATTTTTCTGCAGATGTTGGGGGAAAGGTTATCCACCTGGTGGAACGGGCTCCTCCTCAGACTCACCTCCCTTCTGGGGCATCTTCTGGGACGGGGTCTGCCTCAGCCACTCATGGTGGGGGATCCCCCCCTGGTACTCGGGGGCCTGGGGCCTCTGTTCATGACCGGAATGCCAACAGCTATGTCATGGTTGGAACCTTCAATCTTCCTGTAAGCTTATGTTCCACAGGGGAGGGCTTTTGTGGGTAGCTTTGGTTGTGGTAGCACCAGGGAATTAATAAGATAGATGCTTCCATCTTTAGATTGGGTTCAGGGGGCCCTGTGGTGTGCTATTGGTCTCAGTCTTTAAGGAGAAAAGGAGGTAGGGCTCCAGGGAATGAATTGGAGGTGTGGAGGCCTTAGTGTTGGCTTCTCCCAGAACAACTTCCCTTACCCTTTCCCCAGAGTGACGGCTCTGCTGTGGATGTTCACATCAACATGGAACAGGCCCCGATTCAGGTATTGAGGGGCCTCCGAGGGTCAGGGAAGGGGATCTGGGAGAAGGAGGCTGGGAGGTGGGGTGGACCTGGCTGAGAGATGGCTGGGACCTGATTTAGTAGGTGGTAGAACTCATGGCTTCATCTGTAACCTACCCTGATAAACCTTCTCTCATTGTAGAGTGAGCCCCGGGTACGGCTGGTGATGGCTCAGCACATGATCAGGGATATACAGACCTTACTATCCCGGATGGAGGTAAGTGGGCAAGGCTGGCTAGGGTCTCTCTCCACCCTCCCTCTCCCTTTTCTCTCAGCCTGGGAGTTAGGGCTTCACTGGCCACATTCACAGGGTTTGGCCTTCATAATCTAGTCTTCTCTGCAGTATTCATTCTTTTGGGCAGAAAAAGTATCTTTGTGAGGCTCTCTCATTTCTGCCAATCCTCTTGGTGCCTGGTATCTGGGGAGTTTGTTTCAGACTTAGTCTCATGGCATCTCTTTTCAATTAAAGGATTCTACTCTCTTAACTTGTGGAGGCTGGGAAACCAACTTGTGGAGGAAAGGAAACCACAATCTCTACTCTTTGTTAGAAATTTATTTACAAATATTACAGATGCTGTGGCCGGGTGTGGTGGCTCCTGCCTGTAATCCCAGCACTTTGGGTCGCCATGGCAGGGGGATAACGTGTGGTCAGGAGTTCCAATCCAGCCTGGCCAACATGGTGAAACCCTGTCTCTACTACAAGTACAAAAATTAGTTGGGTGTGGTGGCACGCGCCTGTAGGCCTGGCTACTTAGAAGGCTGAGGCAAGAGAATTTCTTGAACCTGGGAGGCGGAGGTTACAGTGAGCTGAGATCATGCCACTGCACTCCAGCCTGGGCAACAGAGCGAGACTCTGTCTCAAAAAAAAAAAAAAAAAATTACAGATGCTTATTATGCATCTAATTTGTGTCAGTCTTATGCTAGTTGCTAGCGAGTCGGAGATAAAATTGCAGAGCCATGCCTTCAGGGAGTCTAGTTAGGATACTTTCTCTGTTCAGTCTCCTGTAGAGTAATCCTCTGCAGCAGTCTTACCCTGCCTTTGGTATCCTGACTCTCCCCTACCTTCAGTGTCGAGGAGGGCCCCAACCGCAGCACAGTCAGCCGCCCCCGCAGCCACCGGCTGTGACCCCGGAGCCAGTAGCCTTGAGCTCTCAAACATCAGAACCAGTTGAAAGTGAAGCACCTCCCCGGGAGCCCATGGAGGCAGAAGAAGTGGAGGAGCGTGCCCCAGCCCAGAACCCGGAGCTCACTCCTGGCCCAGCCCCAGCGGGCCCAACACCTGCCCCGGAAACAAATGCACCCAAGTGAGAGATGGAGGGAATCTTTAGTGGGTGGGGAATCCTAAGTGAAGTATGGGGAGAAGGAAATGAACCATGGCAAGGGAGGGAAAGGATTACTTGGAGGTCTTAGTTGAAGGGTTAGCATTGAGGGGCGAGGAGGGGCTCTCTCGGTATAGGTAAATGACGCTAGGACAGGCAGCTGAGAAGAACTGCTGCTCTCCCTATGGCAAGGAAATCCAAATGGTATCTCCTGAGCCTGATCGGAATTCTCCTCTGAGTTCACGAAGGCCTGCTCTCTTTCTTAGAATTAGTCTTTCACCATTGTAGGTGCAGGATTGTGGTGGGGAGGGTGGGAGCAGTTCATTTTCTTCTCCCTATCCTCTCATGGGTGGGAGTAAAGAATAGAAGCTTTGGCTGGGTGCAGTGGCTCATGCCTGTAATCTCAGCACTTTGGGAGGCAGAGGCGGGCAGATCACCTGAGGTCAGGAGTTCGAGACCAGCCTGGCCAACATGGTGAAACCCTGTCTCTACTAAAAAATACAGGCCGGGCACAGTGGCTCACGCCTGTAATCCCAGCACTTTGGGAGGCCGAGGCGGGTGGATCATGAGGTCAAGAGATCGAGACTATCCTGGCTAACATGATGAAACCCCGTCTCTACTAAAAATACAAAAAATTAGCTGGGCATGGTGGCGGGCACCTGTAGTCCCAGCTACTCGGGAGGCTGAGTCAGGAGAATGGTGTGAACCCAGGAGACGGAGCTTGCAGTGAGCTGAGGTCGCACCACTGCACTCCAGCCTGGGTGATAGAGCGAGACTCTGTCTCAAAAAAAAAAAAAAAAAAAAAAAACAAAAATTAGCCGGGTGTGGTGGCAGGCAACTTAATCCCAGCTACTTGGGAGGCAGAGGCAGGAGAATCGTTTGAACCTGGGAGGCGGAGGTTGAAGAGAATAGAAGCTCTGCTGGTCCAGAGAAGGATTGGGCCAGGGCTCTGGGAGACCAGGGAGAAAGAGGGCACATGTGGTCCCTGTTGACTGTGAGGGTGGGAATCTGAGGAAGGCTTTGGCTCATTGCCCCTTGGGTTTGTCCACAGCCATCCTTCCCCTGCGGAGTATGTCGAGGTGCTCCAGGAGCTACAGCGGCTGGAGAGTCGCCTCCAGCCCTTCTTGCAGCGCTACTACGAGGTTCTGGGTGCTGCTGCCACCACGGACTACAATAACAATGTGAGCCCTTTGATGGCCCTGCCCTTTCTCCTCAGCCCCAGTACTCCCAAAACAGAACAGGCTGAAATACAGATAACTCTTTCCCTCCCTGGAAAAACATTGCAACAGGGCCAGGTGCAGTGGCTCACGCCTGTAATCCCAGCACTTTGGGAGGCCAAGGTGGGCGGATCATCTGAGATCGGGAGTTTGAGACCAGCCTGGCCAACATGGTGCAACCCCATCTCTACTGAAAATATAAACATTAGCTGGATGTAGTGGTGCACACCTGTAATCCCAGCTACTCAGGAGGCTGAGGCAGGAGAATCGCTAGAACTCGGGAGGAGGGGGTTGCAGTGAGCCGAGATTGCACTACTGCACTCTAGCCTGGGTGACAGAGCGAGACTGTCTCAAAAAACAAAACAAAACAAAAAAACACACATTGCAACAAAACAGTTTCTCTCTAAACCTGTAAGTGATTTTGTCCTCCCTTACAGAGAAGGTGATAATCTTTGCTGTAAGCACTGTCCTCGTATCGTACCCCTTGTGCCCCTGAATGAATTTAGAAAATGTAAAGTACAGGAGATCAGTATATGATGACTTACTGATTCATAGTAGTGTTTTAATAGGATGTTCCTTATGTGAATAAGATATAATTTATTTGCAAAGATTTGGTCTACATGTAAACTTCCAAGGATATAACTGAAAGTTTTGGAGGACATGGTATTCTCAGTAGGCATTATTGCTTTTATTAGTGAGATGGACTCCAGCTTGATATTTTCTGCCTTTTTGTGTTTGGCTGGTTGTGCGCAGCACGAGGGCCGGGAGGAGGATCAGCGGTTGATCAACTTGGTAGGGGAGAGCCTGCGACTGCTGGGCAACACCTTTGTTGCACTGTCTGACCTGCGCTGCAATCTGGCCTGCACGCCCCCACGACACCTGCATGTGGTCCGGCCTATGTCTCACTACACCACCCCCATGGTGCTCCAGCAGGCAGCCATTCCCATACAGGTGGGTTAGGGGGAGTCTGGCCTGAGGGAGAGTGAGGGGTGTTGATAGAGTGACCCAGGGTAGCTACTGGGCCTGAAGGAGGTTAGGAAAGGAGGAGACTGGAAACATGGTGATGAAGGCTGGAGATACTTTAGAGGTTTATCATGAGGTTTTCTTGGTTAGGCTCTTGTATTTTTCTCACATCTGCCTGTCCATCTGTCTTTTTCAGATCAATGTGGGAACCACTGTGACCATGACAGGAAATGGGACTCGGCCCCCCCCAACTCCCAATGCAGAGGCACCTCCCCCTGGTCCTGGGCAGGCCTCATCCGTGGCTCCGTCTTCTACCAATGTCGAGTCCTCAGCTGAGGGGGCTCCCCCGCCAGGTCCAGCTCCCCCGCCAGCCACCAGCCACCCGAGGGTCATCCGGATTTCCCACCAGAGTGTGGAACCCGTGGTCATGATGCACATGAACATTCAAGGTGAGAATAGTTGCTGGCGAGAAGAGCAGGATCAGCATGATGAGGGAGGTTCATGCTGAGGTGTGAGGGAACAGGGTGGGGAAGGGAGAGGCACATGCTGGTGGTGGTAGCCTGGGGACCAGAGCAGAAGCTTAAGTAGACAGATGTGGGGGGTGTGGGGGTTGGTTTGTCTTTGGAGGTGTGTTTGTGTGGTGAAGGGAGTACCTCTCCCTGTTTAGATGGAGGGAAAGGCAGGCTTTCTGATTGGGGGATTATGGGCCTGAAGTATGCCTGATCTCAGAAGGATATAGTTAGGCCTTGGCCCTACCTACCTCAGGGCCACTGTCTCTGTCTCCCTGCCCAGATTCTGGCACACAGCCTGGTGGTGTTCCGAGTGCTCCCACTGGCCCCCTGGGACCCCCTGGTCATGGCCAAACCCTGGGTAAGAGTGAGGGCATCAGGGCAGGCTGAGCTCTGGGTAGAGAAAGGGAAGGGCTGAGTGGGTGGGTTGAAGGGGTCCAGGTTCAAGGTTACATCAGACCCGCCCCCCAGGCTCCACCCTCATCCAGCTGCCCTCCCTGCCCCCTGAGTTCATGCACGCCGTCGCCCACCAGATCACTCATCAGGCCATGGTGGCAGCTGTTGCCTCCGCGGCCGCAGGTAATGACCTGGAAGGGGAGGCTTGGGAGGTAGGGCACAGTCCATGGTGGCAGCTGGCTGGCAAGGGCCTGGCCCTCAGCCCTCTTCGGTCTGTCTCTTCTGCCACCCACAGGACAGCAGGTGCCAGGCTTCCCAACAGCTCCAACCCGGGTGGTGATTGCCCGGCCCACTCCTCCACAGGCTCGGCCTTCCCATCCTGGAGGGCCCCCAGTCTCTGGGACACTGGTGAGCAAGGGTCGGGGAGTTCTAGTGCGTAACAGTCTAGGGAGAGACTCCTGTGGTGGTGCATGGAAGGGCAGGTCTGAAGTTCTCCCTTGCTCTCTATCCAGCAGGGCGCCGGTCTGGGTACCAATGCCTCGTTGGCCCAGATGGTGAGCGGCCTTGTGGGGCAGCTTCTTATGCAGCCAGTCCTTGTGGGTGAGTTTTCATTCTTCCCCACTCAGAGTTTAAACTCCTTTCCTAGTCTGCTCACTGGCACTTTCCAGTTCTTTCCATATTTTCTTGGTTCCTGCTTTCCTGGAATGGGGCTGCTGTAGTGTCTTGTGTCTTCAGGTTTCAGCTTTTTTTTTTTTTTTTTTTTTTTTTTTTGAGATGGAGTCTCACTCTGTTGCTAGGCTGGAGTGCAGTGTACAATCTTGGCTCACTGCAACCTCTGCCTCCCGGGTTCAAGTGATTCTCCTGCCTCAGCCTCCTGAGTAGCTGGGACTACAGGTGCACGCCACCACGCCCAGCTAATTTTTTATGTTTTTAGTAGAGAAGGGGGTTTCACCATGTTGGCCAGGATGGTCTCGAACTCTTGACCTTGTGATCCACCCACCTTGGCCTCCCAAAGTGCTGGGATTACAGGCTTGAGCCATCGTGCCCGGCCAGCTTTTTTCTTTTTTTTTTAAGTTACAGAGTCTTGCTCTGTCACCCAGACTGGAGTGCAGTGGTGCAATCCAGTGAGTTAAAGCTCACTGTAACCTTGAACTCCTGGGCTCAAACAGTTCTCCCACCTCAGCCTCCTGAGTAGCTAGCAGTACTAGCTCCTGGCTAGTAATTGTCTTTTTTTTTTTCTGGTAGAGATGGGGTCTTGCTATGTGGCCTAGACTCCTGGGCTCAAGCAGTTCTCATGCCTTGGCCTCCCAAAGTTGCTAGGATTACAGCCAAGAGCCACCATGCTCAGCCCAGCTTTCTTTTTTTGGTTTCTTACAGCTCAGGGGACCCCAGGTATGGCTCCACCGCCAGCCCCTGCCACTGCTTCTGCCAGTGCTGGCACCACCAACACAGCTACCACAGCTGGCCCCGCTCCTGGGGGGCCTGCCCAGCCTCCACCCACCCCTCAACCCTCCATGGCTGATCTTCAGTTCTCTCAGCTTCTGGGGAACCTGCTAGGGCCTGCAGGGCCAGGGGCTGGAGGGTCTGGTGTGGCTTCTCCCACCATCACTGTGGCGATGCCTGGTGTCCCTGCCTTTCTCCAAGGCATGACTGACTTCTTGCAGGTGAGTGGCTGGCTTGCCATTCACCTCATCTTCCTGTCCCCCGGCCCAGCCAGGCAGTGGTACCTTCTTGCCATTATATAACCACTGGGTAAGAGCCCCTAGTGACATGTTAGGGGAAGGGGCCCTAGGAATTCATTGACTCTGAACCTTTCATTTTAAAGATGAAGAAAATGAGGTTTAGAAAAAGAAAGTATAGTAATTAGTGTCACTGCTTTCTGACAACCTGTTCAGAGGAAGAGGTAGGTAAGTTGTGCTGCCTGACTCTGTTAAATACCTACCATACTTCTGCTTTAAGCAGTGAAGATCAGAATGTAACTCCCCATCTTCCCAGACCCGTTGGTTTGTGCCCTCTTGATGCCGTATTATTTCCGTGTGTCTTCATTCTCACCTCACTTTCTGTTCTTTGTTCTTTCTTTATTTGCCAGGCAACACAGACAGCCCCTCCACCACCCCCACCTCCTCCACCCCCACCACCTGCCCCAGAGCAGCAGACCATGCCCCCACCAGGCTCCCCTTCTGGTGGCGCAGGGAGTCCTGGAGGCCTGGGTCTTGAGAGCCTGTCACCGGAGTTTTTTACCTCAGTGGTGCAGGGTGTGCTCAGCTCCCTGCTGGGCTCCCTGGGGGCTCGGGCTGGCAGCAGTGAAAGTATTGCTGCCTTCATACAACGCCTCAGTGGATCCAGCAACATCTTTGAGCCTGGAGCTGATGGGGCCCTTGGTGAGCAAAAAGGATGCTTTGGCTTGCTCCAGGAAGGGGCAGCCAGAGGAATGTAGATGGCCTTGGTTTAGGGGTGTTGCCAAGGTGGGATGAGGTTGATGATCTGGTTGTGGGTGGGCAGGCCAGGTGGTAAAGGCCATTGCTAACATCTGCCCTTGTCCCCCAGGATTCTTTGGGGCCTTGCTTTCTCTTCTGTGCCAGAACTTCTCTATGGTGGACGTAGTGATGCTTCTCCATGGGCATTTCCAGCCACTACAACGGCTCCAGCCCCAGCTGCGATCCTTCTTCCACCAGCACTACCTGGGTGGTCAGGAGCCCACACCCAGTAACATCCGGGTAAATGAAGGCCAGGGGCCCCAGAACTCTCCTCTTTTGCACATTTTATTCCTTATTTCTGACTGCTTCTCTGCCAGGTAAAGCTCCAATTGCCCCCACACAAGCCCTGGACTTGTTGGGGTCGAGGTGGAAGTCTTGGGAGGACTGAGGCTTTGAACTAAACCTGTTCTGTTTCCTCCACAGATGGCAACCCACACATTGATCACGGGGCTAGAAGAGTATGTGCGGGAGAGTTTTGTGAGTAACCCTTCTCTATTCCTTTCCTCTCCTGGGTCTGGTCGAGGCAGCTGCCTCCTCCACTCCCAGTCTTATGATTCTTGATTTTGGGATCTTTGTGTTATCTTGTCTCTCAGTCCTTGGTGCAGGTTCAGCCAGGTGTGGACATCATCCGGACAAACCTGGAATTTCTCCAAGAGCAGTTTAATAGCATTGCTGCGCATGTGCTGCATTGCACAGGTCAGGGGCTGGCCAGGCGGGGGCAAGTGGGGCCTGTTGCATGTGCAGGGCTGCCACGTGCCAGCATTCCCTCCTTGTATTTTGCCCACAGATAGTGGATTTGGGGCCCGGTTGCTGGAGTTGTGTAACCAAGGCCTGTTTGAATGCCTGGCCCTAAACCTGCACTGCTTGGGGGGACAGCAGATGGAGCTTGCTGCTGTTATCAATGGCCGAATTGTAAGCACCACCTAGCCCCAGATCCTTAGCCTTTTGTTTCCTGAGGTTTCCATTCTCTGCAGTTTTCATTTTTCTTTTCTAAACTGACATTCTGTAACCTGGATCTAATCTATTTCTAAAGGTGGTTGAGGGTTTTGTGTTCTAAATCTGCTTTCTGTCCCTCAGCGTCGTATGTCTCGTGGGGTGAATCCCTCCTTGGTGAGCTGGCTGACCACTATGATGGGACTGAGGCTTCAGGTGGTACTGGAGCACATGCCTGTAGGCCCTGATGCCATTCTCAGATACGTTCGCAGGGTTGGTGATCCCCCCCAGGTAAGGGACCTGTTGGGCGATGGGGTCAGGGTACTTGAGAGAACTGGAGAGATCTGAGAGGAAGTATGGTGTTCTTTAATTTCACAGCCACTTCCTGAGGAGCCAATGGAAGTTCAGGGAGCAGAAAGAGCTTCCCCTGAGCCTCAGGTACTCTAGAGAGGGGGAGGTTGAGGGGCCAGATAATGTGGAGTGGAGGGCTGGGGGAGAAAGGTTTGGAGGCTAAAAATTCTGAAGCCTGGCTCTTCCCGCCATCTGACACCCAGCGGGAGAATGCTTCCCCAGCCCCTGGAACAACAGCAGAAGAGGCCATGTCCCGAGGTCCACCTCCTGCTCCTGAGGGGGGCTCCCGGGATGAACAGGATGGAGCTTCAGCTGAGACAGAACCTTGGGCAGCTGCAGTCCCCCCAGTAAGTGTCAGGAAGTAATCCAGTGGGTCATGGCAGCTGAAAGTCAAGGACATTACTATTTTCTCTTTTCCTCCCCAGGAATGGGTCCCTATTATCCAGCAGGACATTCAGAGCCAGCGGAAGGTGAAACCGCAGCCCCCTCTGAGTGATGCCTACCTCAGTGGTATGCCTGCCAAGAGACGCAAGGTTGGTTTTCCTCTTCCCTAAGCCTCTCTCTCTGTCCAGGTTTCCCCGTCATGCCTGGAATCAAACTATGTAGAGATGGTGGGAGCTCTTGTTATTCAGTCTCCCCTCCCCTCGTTTAATGAGGAAACTTTTTCTGGGATTCAGACTTGCTCTTGGTTGTTGCATAACCATACAGGACTTGACCTTAGTCTGTTTGCTAGCAGTCCTGTATTAGTTGCTCAGCTGCCTAATCCCCATGTGCTTAGATCCCATTTTCCTTTAAGGTGGGTTTCCTCTTGTGGATTACCTAGCTCTGAATCCCGGATGGCTTGACCCCTTCTGCCTTTCGTTTTGAAGAGCACGTTCAAGCACATTCACTTTAGTTTTGGCTAGTGCCAAAGAGAATTAGGAAGGCATTTCTGCTGTAAAAACCACATCCTGGACTCTTAATTTCCCCTCTCTCCACTAGCATGGAGACTCAGTGGAGTGGTTGACTCATGGAAAGGGTGAGCCGGATGGTGGCACTGGATCTGACGTTGATCCTCTTTTCCCTCCCAACCCCCTGTCCCCCAGACGATGCAGGGTGAGGGCCCCCAGCTGCTTCTCTCAGAGGCTGTGAGCCGGGCAGCTAAGGCAGCCGGAGCTCGGCCCCTGACGAGCCCCGAGAGCCTGAGCCGGGACCTGGAGGCACCAGAGGTTCAGGAGAGCTACAGGCAGCAGGTGCCACCTTGAAGCAGAATAGGGATGGTCTAGTGGGAGGGGTTGGGCTAGGGTCCCTCTTCCCTGGATCCCTTCAGCGATGAACTGGTCAGCCTGGTGCTACCATTTGTTTTCCCCTTTGGCATCTGGGAAGGCTTGACAGTGCCACCCCGGGCTATTTGACAGTGTGCTTGGGGGGGGGAAATGTTAGCTTCTGAGGGATGGCCTTGTGTGCTTGCTGGGATCATAGGGACTTGGCCAGCGTTTCTCCAACCTGCTTACTTTTTCTCTTTAGCTCCGGTCTGATATACAAAAACGACTGCAGGAAGACCCCAACTACAGTCCCCAGCGCTTCCCCAATGCCCAGCGGGCCTTTGCTGATGATCCTTAGCTCTTTCTTTGCTCTATGGCCCTTCCTCATCAGGGGACCGTTTCCCCCCTCTTCCTTCACAGTATTTAAGAAATAAAAGTCGGATTTTTCTGGCTGCTTTCTCTCTACATTGTCTCCATTAGGTAGTGTGTCCCTTAATCTTGTGTGAACTTTTTTAAATTAATACTTCCTTGGAACACTGTTGTGTTCTACTCAGCACGCTAAATTGTACAAGCCAGTTTTGATGTTTTTTTTTTTTTTTGAGACAGAGTATTGCTGTCTCCCAGGCTGGAGTGCAGTGGCCCGATCTCGAGCTCGGCTCACTACAACCTCCACCTCCCGGGTTCAAGTGATTCTCACTCATGCCTCAGCCTCCTGAGTAGCTGGGACTACAGGCGTCCGCCACCACGCCCGGCTAATTTTTGTATTTTTAGTAGAGACAGGGTTTCACCATATTGGCCAGGCTGGTCTCGAACTCCTGACCTTGTGATCCACCCGCCTTGGCCTCCCAAAGTGCTGGAATTACAGGCCTGGGCCACCGCGCCCAGCCTGATGTTTGTATTTTTTGTGCGAAAGCACTTTATATATAAATAAAAAACCTGTATTTTGAGTTGGGAGCATATTCCAGGTGCACACTAGCATAGAGCTCTCAAATTACCCATCAAAAAAAGTTTCTGAGCAGCTGCAGACCTAAGTATAGTCTTTAGCATAACTAGCATGCAGCGTTACCATGTGAAATCCCACTTAGTTTGACAATGCTGGAATTGGTCTATCCAATTCAAAGAGCCCCTTAAGTGTGCTCCAACATTGAGGCCTTAACAGAGATTTCCCCTTAGTTCATCATAAAGAACTGAAGTCCCATGGCTGCAAATTCTTTGCTAGTCCCTTTGAGATGCAGTTGAAGTCCCTTCTAAACCCCCCCATCCCCTACCTTGGCTAGTTTAGTGCTCTATCAACTAAGCATGGCATAAGCTTAGAAAATTCCAGCTAGACCTCTTGGAACATGAGCTCACGGACATTTAACAGGCCTGCTGGAGAGTCCATGTGAAGACACTGGTTGATAACCCAGTAATGTTACAGATGTCCCACCAAGGCCCTAGATATGCAAAGGAAGCCATATTGGGACCAGCCCAGGTGTCAGCTGCAGACTGATAACCAGTTGACCTCGCTCACTGGCACAAAAAAGCAGATTTATCCAGCTGAGCTCAGCCCAAATTCCAGACTCACAAAAATTTAAAGATCCAATACGATGGTCATGTTTTTAGTTTCAACAGCTCACTGGAATAAGTAATGAATATTTCCCTGACTGAAACTACAGATCACTCAGCACCATGCTTTAAGACAATGCAAACAACTCATCCCCCAAATCATTGTAGAAGTTTTTTTTTTTAAATCCTTTTATTACTCTTTTTTAACAAACAGCCCCAGGGACAGGGGACCAGGGGAAGGGGGAGGAGGGGAAGTGAGGCCCCAGCCCCAGAACCCCTCCCCGCCCACCCCTTTCCCCCTTATATATTTATAATCTATATACAAGCCCCGGGGGTAGGGGGCAAGAGGAACTCCCTCAGCGGGGTGGGGGCAACCCAGGCTCCTTGTCCCCTCGGGACCCAGGCTCCTCTGCCCGTCGGGAGGGCCCTTCTCGAGGTGGCGGCCCTGTCCGCTCCCAAGGCTTAGGTATCCAGCGCAGGGCATCTGGTGGGGAGGCCTAGGGGACAGGCATGTGTTAAACAGTGAGTCACAGTGAGAGGTCAGCGATGAGACGGAAGGACAGGAAATCAGGTGGCAACTCGAATTTAGAGTTGGGGCCACAAGGGTTTCTCCTTCACCTGCTGGTAAAGGTCGACGCGCTGGGTGCGGAAGACTCCACTGTAGGTGGAAGGCGTGGCCTTGAGACGGGAATTGAGGCCAGAGAAGGACCTAAGGGAAGAAGGGCGTCTAAGGCAAGCCTAGGATCCAGACCCTGGTTCCAAAGTAAGGAAGCACTTGGAAAGTCCACATCCCTATTCCGTTTCACCTTCCAGTTGGGGGAGTCCGTGATGATCCAGGTCCCCCAAGGTTGCTGCTCAGTTTTTGATAATCCTGGAACGGCTTTAGTTCCACTGGATGCAGCTGAGGGGAAAAAAATCATGAGCTGCCTACCTTGAAATACAGAATCCCTACTCCCAAGTCTTGGCGCTCCCTAGCCCCTCAGTTCCTGTACCTTACCTCTGCTCGCCCCAAGCTAGCGGGGAAGGGCCTGGCAGGTGAAGGCAGCACCCGAGTAGCAGGAGCAGGTGGGGGCCGCACAGCCAGGCTGGGGGGCTGCAGAGCAGGGCCCACAGGTAACAGAGAAAGGGAAGGTGGGGCAGGAGGTGGTGCTGGCGGCAGGGAGCCAAAGTTCACCACAGGCAGCTGTGAGTCTACCATGGGTAGAAGCATCTGTAACAAGAAATTTGGGTGTGCATGTTGGGGGCAGGGAGGAATGTCAGAAAACCAGGGAAAATCAAAGCCAGCAACTGGACAGAGAAATCAAATGAAGGGGAAGTGTGAAGATACAATATACCTGCTGGGCAGGAGCCCCTGAAGGGAGAAAGCCACTTTGGCCACCAGGCTGCAGAGGAGTAGAATAAAAATCCGAAGGGGATGGCAGATCCTGGCGTACCTGTCGGGAAACAGGGAGAAATATATCAACCCCCACAAAATCATTCTCCCTACCCTATCCCCCAATATCTAATACCTGCCCCCCTCTTACCTGAAGCAACGATGTGTCAGGCAAAGGACTGGGGCAGAAAGCCGGAGAGTAGAGGAAGGAAGGTGGAGGGTAGAGAACTCCTCCAGCCGGCAACTTCCCCAGCTCTGTAGCTTGCATTGTGGAGAAATCCAGAAACTGGCCCTTGAGAGCTACCCCAGAGAGCAGTGCTGAGGGAGGGGCTGGGCCGGGGGGTAGGTATAGGGGCTGTGATCTGAAAATAAATTGTGGGGAGAAAAGCTGTTAGGAAGCCAGAGTCCTAGCAATGCCTTAAGTCCACTAGCTTCTAGTACCCTAGAACTGTGTCTTCCCCTTCCCTCTCCCCGAAACACATCTCCAAGTACTTCTGTGATCCACAGGCATCGAGTCTTACCTGTAAGGGTGCAGTGAGGGTGTCCCAGGGCGGAAGCCTCCACTGTTTGGATGTAACTGAGAGTCCATGGCTCCCCCAGAGATCTGCAGGAGAGGAGCACGGTTGAAACAGCTTTAGTATCTGTGGTCAAGAAAAAAGATCACCATCCCACCCATAGAAGCAAAAAGTAGGGAGAAAAATGATGTGACAAAGTGGTATCTCACAACTCTGCAACGTAGAAAGGCTTGATTATAAATACATACCAGGCAGAAAAAAATTATTATTCACTGAAGGGGTCATGCAATGGGAAGCGGGGCCTACCTGAGAACTGGAAGGCCCAGCACTGCCATAGAAAACCTCAGGATACAGGCGCTGGCCTGAGGAGCTGGGCTCCGGGACACAGTGCCCAGAATCCAGGTTCTTGGATTGTGGCTCAGCAGAGGCAGCAGCACTGGGAAGCAGCTCCCAGTCTCGTGATACAGGAATGGCCTGGGAAGGAGAGGCCTCGTGGAGAGGGATGTCTGGCATCCTGGACGCCCTGGTCACTCCCAGCAATCTTCCCCAGAAATCTTGGGCCTTTCCACCAAACTCTTACTCCCACTTACCTCAGTGACTGATGCTGTTAGCTCCTTCTCTGCTTTCAAGCTGTCTCCTACCACTAGGCGTAAGTCTGAGTCCTGTGATCACAAGAAGGCAGGAGACATTGTCCCGTGACAGACATGTGTCCTCTATGTCCCACCTTTAGTCCTTCCCTTCTCTCCACCCAACTCAGGATACCCAGATCCAGCCCACACAGACCTTGTCACTAGTGCCAAACTGGACTGGGGGACCAGGTCGATGGGATGGCCGAATGGGGCCAGGCTCTGTGCCTCGGTCTGTATGCTGTGATCGTTCTGTGCCAATGGGGCCAGGGGGCAGAGGCTGCTCCCGGGGCAGCTCCTGGATTGGGCACACAGTAAAGTGCATTGGGGGAGGGAAAGGGAAATCCAAATTGGAATGCCCAGAACACACACGCAGAGAGAAAAAGCAGAAAAAGGTAGGGCCAAAGTCAGATTCCTGGAAACATTCCCCTTATCCTTTTTTGGTCTTTTACCTTTCTGTCCCCATCGTGGGGGGCAGGTGGTGGTCTCCTAGGAGGTTCAGAGCCAGGTGGACCCTCACAAGGAACAGCATTCAGGGGTGAGGAGCCTCCAGGCCTCTTGGGGGGTCCCTCTGCTGCCCCCTTGAGTCCTCCATCAGGGGAACTTCGCTGGCTGCAGGGACCTGATGACACCTGAGAATCCCCACTCAGGTCCACCCCACTGTCAGACTGACTCATCTGAGAGGAGTGGAGAAGGAGCTAGTTAAGTCAGGGTAGAAAGCACCCCAATACCTGACTGATGCACACATACAAACTGCAGAAAGGGGACAGCCAAGTGAGAGAACAGCTCCAGACTCAACCCAGAGCAGGTGGGGGGTATGACCAGTGCTCAAAAAAGTCCCAGCTCAGACACACCCTCCCACCCTCACTCACTTCTGTGCCAGCCACATCCTCAAAAGGACTCAGGGGCTCCATCCAAGGCTCCATGGAGCTGGGCCGGTAACTCTTTCGGCTAGTGGCTGGAGAAGGGAGCACCAACCAGAAGAGAAGTGAGGAGATGACAGTTCAGAAGCCCCTCTCATTCTTAACCCTTCTACCATAGTCCTTTCACTCAGCTTTACTCACCAGTATGTAAACGGTTCCAGATGTGAGGGGTCAGGGCCTCTGTGCCTGTATCTCTGGACTCTGCCTGAGGGCCTGGGCCCTCAGGCTTAGAGCCCAAGAATCCAGAGCTATGAGGAGGTGGCAAAGATTCCTACAGATGAGAAGGGCCAGAAGCAAAACATGAATTGGGTGGGAATTGGGAATTATAGGAAGCCAGGACAGAGTGGGGTGACACAGGGTGTGGGGACAACAAGGGAGACACATGGGAGACTAATACTGAGAATTCTGGAGTAAAAACACAGTGAAAGAAACAGGAAAGAGAACAGAGAAAACATAACCCAGAAGAATTTTCACGAGTAAGAGTGCAGTGAAGCACAATCTCAAACCCATCCCTTACCTCCTGTAGCAGCTCTGGTTTTCTGGGAGGCCGCTCCCGACGTTTAGGGGGAAAGGGACTAACCCCGGCAGAGTCCCGAGGAGTCCCACCCACCCCTCTCACCATTGGCCCCGGCTCCTCAAAGTGGGGGTCTGGGAAAGAGAAAAAGGGTCAGCATCTGCCTGGCTCTGCCACTGACCCTAACTTTTCCTCTCTACTCCACCTCCCAATTCTTCTACCCTTGCTCCCTGCAGAAACGCACCCAGCAGCAGGGCCCCTAGGCCAGGTTCTCCACCCGCTCCCTCCAGCACTTGACCTTCTCTGGGGATGGAGATATTCCCACCCATAACCCCTCCAGCTTACCAGAACTGAGGCCGCTGTTGACCCTCTGGGGCTCGTATCGGGTTGGGGGCCTAGGAGAGGGGCCCTGAGGGGCTTGGGGAGGCCCAGGCTTGTGCCTTGGATGACCCCCTGGTGCAGTTACACTCCCTTGACGGCTACTAAGCTGGGCCAGAGCCTGTTGGATGCCAGCAGGGTTGCTGTGGATAACTTGGTCCAGGCGGAAGACAGCAGAACTGCTGGGAGGTGGGGGAGGCAGGGGAAGCCCCGGGGGACGCTCCTCTGGAGGACGACTGGAGAAAACAGAGCATTAGCTCCAGTATCCACTAAATCGTTACTTTTTCCCACAAGTTATGTTTCCCAACTTCTGCTTACAACCTATTCTCTTCCCTATTAAAGTCCAGGTGTTTTTGAGTCCTTCTAAGGGTTCCTATGCGTACAGATGCACAGACTGGAAAGCAAAGAACCAGCAATGAATACATAGGTGGGTGTTCTTGACTCTAACACCCTACCAACCGCTTTCCAGTTGCCTTAGCCAGACATGGAAATCCTACTGACATTCTAGAGCCCATGGCCCCTCAGGCCACAATCTCCACTACACCCAAACTTATCTTTCCCTCAGGCTTTTCCCCCCTCCTCCAATTTTTAAACCACAATAAATTTGTTTGTTCCTACCCACCTTCGGTTCTTGGGAGAGGGCCAGCTCCTCTTGTCGCCTCGTCCTGGCCCGGTCCTTCCTCCAGGACCCCCACCGCCTCCTCCACTGCTGCTGCCACTGCTGCCAGCCTTGCCCCCTGGGCCAGGGCGCCGATTCTGCCGTTCCATGCCTGGCCGCTGACTTGAGAAGCTCCGTTTACTCAAATCCTTGGCTCTCTGGCTCAGATCTCCGCGGGACATGGCTGAAATACCTGGTACGGCTCCACCTCCACCTCCCCCAGGAGTTCCCACAGCCTTGGGTGTCAGCAGTACTGGTGGGGGTGCCTCTTTGTCCCCTCGGCGCTCACTGGTGAAGTCACTGCTCTCTGATGCAGTCTCCCATTCCTCATTGGCTTGGTCTGAGTTCTGGTTTGACAGATCAGGAGACTTGGCAGCTGCCCGGCGAGGTGCTGGGGCCACTGTGACTGTTGTGAGGGCCTCCTCAGGTCCAGGAGCGGAGGCTGGAAGGGTTAGGGAGGGCTTGCCCTCAGACCCCCTTGCGGCATTCTCCCGTTCCTGCTTCAGCCTCCGGAAACGAGGCGGTTTATCCTGCTGCTGAGCCCTCCCATGTCGCCTCCTTCGGGGTCGCTCCCCATCTTCCATGCCCACATTGCTACCTCCATTGCTGCCTCCGCGCGCCACAGGGGACAGAGGCCCTGGGATCAACTTCTCTTTCAAAGGCTCCTTACTTGGTGGCAAAGGGCCTGTGGGAGGTTTCTTGGGAGCCAGAGACTTGGCTGGAGGGCTCCAGCCTGGGCAAACTTGAGGAGGGGGCCTCCCTCCTCCTCGGCCCCGGCGAGATGGCACCCCTCTGGGAGTGAAGACTCGCCCACCCCGGGCAGTGAAGCGGGCTGGGGCTGGTGAAGGTGGGGCTCCTGGTGGTGGGGGAGCGAGAGGGACCTGGGTGAGTGTTCCCTCCTTGGGTGTGGGAGCCTCCTTGTCTGAAGGAGCCAGATCACTCTCATGGGTCTCGCTGCCTGTTTCTGAGCCCCGCTGCCGGCGCCGCTTGGGGATTTCCTCATACTCTGAACCCTCGCTCCGTGTCTCGCTGGCAGTGCGGCCTCGGGGAGCAGGAGGGTGGTTTGGTCCCCCTGTCCCACCTCCACGCCCATCATCTCCTCGAAACTCTCGGTAACTGCGGAATTCCCGGCTTCGGGCTCCCCGCCCTCGTCCCCCATAGGTCCCCCGAAAACCCCTCCCTCTGGCAAAATACTCGCCTCGGCCCCGACCCCGGCAAGAGGTAGGACCCACTCTTTCATACGAATAGTCCCTCCGAAGCCTTGGGGCAGGGGAAAGATTTCCATTGGGTGGGGTCTCCTTGGGGCCCCCTAGCTTCCCCTTGGTTATCTTGAGTGGGTCTGGCTTTGGGGGTTTGGGGGTTTCATCCCCCTGTTCGAGGGGCTTGGGAGGCAGCTCTTCTACTTTTGTAGGTGGTGGAGGTTTCTTTATAGGCCCAGCCCGGCGGGGTGGGGCCCCTGGCTCCTCTGGAGGGATTCCACGACGACTGCTCCCTGGACGAGGGCCCCAGCGGGTCTCTGTGCGACTCTCTCTGCGTGGTGGTGGGGGGCCCTGGCCTCCACTCCCGACTCCGCGGGCAGGCTTTCGGCCTGCTTCTGGCCCCGTCAGCTGTGCAGTCTCCTCCTTAGGGGGCTCCTTCTTGGGTGGTGGAGTTTGTATCTTGGCCACTTCATCACTGCCTGGGGGCCAGGGGAGTGGACGGGGCCCTGGTTCCTCCAGAGGAAAGCGAGAGATTGGGGGCCCAGGGGCTCCATTCTCAGGAAAGCCTGGATAACTGGCCAGATAGGGTGGTGGGGGAGGTACTGGAGGAGTCTCGCTCCTGAAGAGACAGACAGAAAGAATGGAAATAAGTATCTCAGGAAAACCAGAACTAGGTGGGAAAAGAACACTTTATTATGATGCAGACTCTCTTTTACTATTTTTCTGTTTGTTTTGGCAGAGATGGCATCCAGTTGCCGAGGCTAGTCTCGAACTGCTGGGCTCAAGCAATCTTCTTGCCTCAGCCTCCCAAAATGCTGGGATTACAGGCATGAGCCACTCCATCCAGCCTCTCCTTTCCCGTTCATCCCTATCCCTACCACTAACCCAAAGTACCTTTCTCCCAGGCCTAGATCCTTTCACTGTGAACTCACCCATTTCTCATGACCAAGACTCACCTCATCCCCTTGTCATCCTCATCCGCAGCCTGGCGCAGAGGTGAGGTAAGTGGGCGGGGTTCAGCGGGTGTGGCGGTGAAGACATCTCCCACCCAGGCCAACTTTGGATCCACCGGTGGAGTGCCCCGTTCCCGTAACATAGCAGGTGCATGACGGTCAAATGGCTCTGAGCTTGAGCCCCCACTGTCTGAACGCTCTCGGGGAACTAGGCCTGAAGAAACCAAAGAAAAAGAAAAATAATCCTATTCATGTCACAAGCCCTCCAGCCCAAAAAGCATCTCCCCTCGCGGTCAAGTCAGCTCTTCCATCTCTTGTTCCCAGTAGGTCCGGGCCTTGCCTGCTCTTATATAACAAGGTTATCCACTCAGATTCCCTACAAGAGAATCAACCCACCCCAAATAAATCCTGGCAAATGAAGGACCACTGCTTCTTTCATTCATTCATTCATTTTTGAGATGGAGTTGTGCTATTCATTCAATTCATTTTTGAGACGGAGTTTCGCTCGTTGCCTAAGCTGGAGTGCGATGGCACAATCTCGGCTCACTACAACCTCCACCTCCTGGGTTCAAGCGTTTCTCCTGCCTCAGTCTCCCGAGTAGCTGGGACTACAGGCGAGCGCCACCACGCCGGCTTTTTTGTATTTTTAGTAGAAATGGGGTTTCACCACGTTAGCCATGGTGGTCTCGAACTCCTGAACTCAGCTGATCTGCCCACCTCGGCCTCCCTAAGTGCTGGGATTACAGGCGTGAGCCACAATGCCTGGCCAACCACTGCTTATTTCTTAACTAAGCCCATTTTTGCAACAGAGCTATCTCAGCAGTGCTAAGCATATGCCCTTCCCTCATCACTATGATGGGCAAAACCTATCGTACCAGAATCACAGTAAGACCCTAATATCCAATGCCTAAGACTGAGGGGACTTTCCTGTTTCTCACTCCTCCCATGCCCCCTTACCAGAGGGATGCACACCAGGAGGGTAGAAGTCTAGAGGGGGACGACCCTGGAGGAGCCGGGGGTCCACATAAGGAGGAATCATCATCCATCGGGGATCAAAGTTCATTGGGGGCATGGGTGGGGGCCGGCCCAGAGCACCTGGGTACAGGGCCTTGGGGGGCGGGGGTGGAGCCTGTGGAGCTGGCACAGCCCCCAGGGTCACAGGCTGTGGTGGTGATGGGGGCACTGGGGTAGGAGGGGCAGAGCCCTGTTGATGCTGCTGCCACTGGTGCTGCTGCTGCTGCTTCAGGAGCTGCTCCTAGGAAAGGAGGAAAGACAAGATGAGAGAGGCTCAAAGCACACATGGACAAAGGAATCAGCAAAGAAAAAACTTGGACTAGGGGAAATTGGCGTGACAATGGAGACAACTGGACAAAGAAGCAAAGGGACCCAGAAGGTAACTTATGAAGAGAATTAGGGACCGAAGCCAGGAAGAAAAGCAGCCCTTAGAGGGTAAACAACTTGATTTCACCTGCTGCTGCCGCTGGAAACGAGGAGGCAACGACTTCTGATATTTGGGGTAGCCCAAGCCCTGACTAGGGGGCTGGCGGGTGGGACCAATCCCATCACCCTTGGGTTCCACCTTTGGAACTGGGGGTGTGGTAGGAGGAGGAACCTCTTCTGGTGGTTCAGGACCCTCTTTTGAGGGCAGTTGTGGTTCCACTGCATCGGAAAAAACACAACAGAGTGATCTAGTCCAACAATAGACACTCCATGAACACCCCAGGAATCTCACGTCTCATCTCTAGCTCCCTTAAGACTAAAATATTCTATTCAACATCTATTCTATTGAAGCCCCTCCCATTTAAGACCCATTAAAGCACTTCATGGCCTCTCATGAGCCTATGGTGGTGGCATTAACTTTCTATGAAACCATTAGAACAACAGTACTTTCTTCAGTCTTGGCCTATAGGAAATAGTTTTCATTTTTATTTATGTATTTCTTGTGAGACAGGATTTTTTTTTGAGACAGAGTCTTGCTCTGTCACCCAGGCTGGAGTGCAATGGCATGGTCTTGGCTCACAGAAATCTCTGCCTCCCGGGTTAAAGCGATTCTACTACCTCAGCCTCCCAAGCAGCTGGGACTACAAGCACATGCCACCACACTTGGCTAATTTTTGTATTTTTAGTAGAGACGGGTTTCACTATGTTGGCCAGGCTGATCTTGAACTCCTGACCTCATGTTCTGCCCGCCTCGGCCTCCCAGAGTGCTGGGATTACAAGTGTGAGCCACCATGCCTGGCCGACAGGGTCTTGCTTTGTTGCCCAGGCTGGTCTCAAACTCCCTAGGCTCAAGCGATCCTCCACCCCAAGCCTCCCTAAGTGTTGGGATTATAGGCGTGAGCTACAGTACTCTGCCAAGAAATGGTATTAGACTACAACCTAAGATTCCAGACAAAACCTTCCCTCCTTCAGATATACAAATGATAGAACACTATCACTGATAGTCCAATAAACCAAAACAACTGCCTTCTACTTCATTTATCCCCAGCCTTACCACCCTGCACCTTTAAGCACCTTGAAGCAGTGATCTGACATCTGGTAGTACCTATCCCCATCTCCATACCTGGGCTGGCTTCGAAGCTGCCACTGCTGGTGCTACTGGTACTGCCACCACCACTCACCAGAGTGGGAGCCGCAGCCACACCTGGAGTAGGAGTAGATTGGGCAGGAGGGGCCTGTGCTGGCTCTTCAGGTTCTTTCTCTGGTGTTGGGGCTGATGCTGGAGGTGGAGCTGGAGGTGCAGGGAGTTCTTTAGGGACTGCAGGTGGTGGAGCTGGGGTAGAAGGGGCAGCAGGTGGGGCAGCAGGCTCTGCTTTGAGCCGCTTGTCAGGTGCCCCAAACTTTTCATCGAGTCGCTTGAGCTTCTCAGCACAGGCTGCCCGGCGCTCTTCTTGCATGCGCCGCTCCTCTTCTTCTCGCCGTCGCCGGGCCCGCTCCACTGCCAGGGAAATCTCAGATGACGACTGCTTTCGTCGCTGCCGCCATGCCTCATCCTCATCTTCAGGTGCTGGGGGCTTGCAGGGAGGACCCCCACGATCCTGTCAATTGGCAAGACCCAGCAGGGCCAGGGGAATCAGTTACTATGCTTTCTATCATCTCTTTTACAACAAATCAACTGTCGCTACTTGCAGGATGCAACGACCCAGGCTTTGGGGTTGATCTCTCTGGGTGGTGACAAACTCATTATCCTGGTCTTCTTTGAGACCACGTCTTGCTATGTTGCCCAGGCTGGTCTTGAACTTGGGCTCAAGTGATCCTTCTGCTTCAGCCTGCTGAGTAGCTTGGACTACTGATGCATACTAACAGATCCAGCTATCTAGCCACCCTAGTCTTTTTATTTTTCTGTTCCCTCTCTCCTTCCGAAACCCAAACACCCAGGGCTCCTTTTTCTTCTTTCCTCATTAGCATCCCAGTTTCTCACTTCTTACCCAGACTCCCCTATTACCAAAGATATTTAAAAGCTTCCCAGGATGTTCTGCAGCCTGGCACTTCACACAGCCCATTTTTAGCACCCCCCTTCCTCTATATCACAACCGCTTCAATTACTCAGCTGACACCAATTTCCCACAGCTGACCCTCTCAATCCCTTATTGGAGACACTCACTGGGTAGTCCCCAGGGGGGCCCCAGTTCCCGGCGGGGCCCCGGTGAGGTGGGGGTAGGGGAGGCTTTGGGGCAGGAGGTCCCGGCTCTGTCTCTGGAGGCCGAGAGGTTTCTGCCCAGGCCGTCTTAGGAGTGGGCGGTTCGCTGTTGGGGGAGTTGCCCTTTTTGCCATCTGCTTCAGGGGGCCGTTCCTCACCAGAAGCTGATTGGGAATCCCTGCTGTGAGCAGATCAACAGTGAAATTAAAATCAGCTGCAACTAATATACTCCTCTAAGAGTATATTACCAAAATACAAACCAAGACCCCCTCCTCTTCTCCCCTGATGGCCCTAACTCACTGGCCCTCAGCTCCCTCCTCATCAGAGTCTCGCCCATCTTCCTCATCGCTGAACTTGAGCTTTTCAGTGTAGTCAACCTCTTCATGGGCCCCTGAGGGGAAATATGAGTATTAGTAACCCAAGCATTCTGCCCTCCAATCTTGGGAGGTAGTCTGGAACTATGTAACAAGATGGACTACCAATGCCAATATCCTTCCCTCCGAAGTCTAGATCCACCAATGAAGTCTTGTCATTCTTACTCCTCTCACCACTTTGCAAGGACTTGGTATTCCCCATCCATCCTCCCCTACTCTTTTTTTTTTTTCCTTTTAAAAGTCTCGCTCTGTTGCCCAGGATGGAGTTCAGTGGCACGATCATAGCTCACTGTGACCTCCAACTCCTGGGCTCAACTGATCCTCCCACCACAACCTCCAGAGTAGCTGGGACCACAGATGCACAGTCCACACCCAACTAAAAAATTTTTTTTTTTTTGTAGAGGTGGGGGGTCTTGCTGTGTTGCCCAGGCTGGTCTTGAACTCCTGGCTTCAAGCGATCCTCTCACCTAACACTCCCAAAGCACTGGGATTACAGATGTGAGCCATTGGGCCTGGTCTTCCTACACTTCAATGTCTGCCTTTCACCCACATAACCCTGTATTTTTTTTTCCTCATTAGGTTTTGCCTTTCAAGATCCAAATTCTTGACCCTTAATATCCACTTACCTGCCCAACCATCATCATTCTCCTGATCCAACTGATCAAACTCTTTGAGATTATCCTCTTTGAGAATAGAGGGACGACCCACAGGCTCTACTAAGCGCATTGGTGGCCCTGAGCCTCGGGGGCCCGCCACACGGGGAAAACGGCTGTACACAAAAAAGAAAATGAAATATGGCATGTTGTATAACCACATGCGAGACTGATCCTAGACTGAGCCTCCTGGCTAGAAAACCATCTCCTCCCCCAATAAGCTTCCCCTGCCCCCAGCCACAAACCCAGACCTGGATTGCTCACCTGGGCCCATCAGGAGTGGGGTATCGGTAAGGCCCCTGGGGTCCATAGGGCGGAGGGAACGGGAGATATGGGGGATACATCTGTAAAAGGGTCCAACAGTAGCTGCTCAGAGGGACAGTCATATACCCTTCTAGCTCCTTAAGCCTGCTATCAATCATCCTCCCACCCTCCCTTCTATCTCATAGGTCAAAGACTAAGTCCTGATTCCTAGCTCTCCAGCTTCCAGTGTAATCGTTCCAAGACAAGACACCAAGACTCACGAAAGGCGGCATCATTCCGCGGTAGGGAGGGAACTGGGGTGGGCCTGAAGGCTGTAGCCCACCCCGGGGATCATGACCATGATGAAGTTTGGAGTCCGGGCCCTCCAGCTCATCAGGGCCACGCCCACCTCCGTCCCTCCAAGTTGTAGAATCTGTATTTTGGAAAAGGTAGAGAGAGGTATCAATGATTGGAGGACAAGTGAACACAGCTGAAAGTGATGGGGAGGAAGGTGAATAAGCCAGCACCTAGCTCTGAGATGCAATAGGTAATGTCTTGGCCAAAAGGCAGCCACTCACTTTGGGGGCGGAGGCTTGGTCCGGGCCCAGACGACTGTTCGGCAGACTCCCTTTCCTTGGCAGCCTTGTCCTGGTCGCCAGCCGCCTGCAGGGTCGGAAATTCCTCTCGAGAGAATCGTGACAGTAGGCTTGATGCCCTTCCACCTATTAGGATGGGGATGCAGAACAGGAGACAGAAGACATTTCCTGAGGACATGCTATAAAAGTGGAAGACTCTGGCTGGGCGCGGTGGCTCACGCCTGTAATCCCAGCACTCTGGGAGGCTGAGGCGGGCGGATCACGAGGTCAAGAGATCGAGACCATCCTGGCCAACATGTGAAACCCCATCTCTACTAAAAACACACAAAAAATTAGCTGGGTGTGTTGGCGTGTGCCTGTAGTCCCGCTACTCTGGAGGCTGAGGCAGGAAAATCGCTTGAACCCAGGAGGCAGAGGTTGCAGTGAGCCGAGATTGCACCACTGCACTCCAGCCTGGGTGACAGAATGAGACTCCGTCTCAAAAAAAAAAAAAGTGGAAGGCTCTGACAGGTACCAGACCATCAGGTTTCCCGCCTTCAAACTCACCCCGCTACAGAATAACTGCTTATTCCCCAAGGAGGTCAGTTCTGGCACCACTACACTCCATCATATAAGACTGAGACTTAAACTTGCTCATGTGCCTCCATGAAACTGAATATGGGTGGTCCTTGATTTAGCCAAAGAGGACCAAGGTCACTTGGCTGAAAATACAGTGCAGGGTTCATGCATCCCATGGTGCCCAGACACAGCTCCCCAATTAAGTGCTGCACTCACCATCTCCATGTGCTCCATGGGTGACGCTGGCTTGTGCCCAGGACTTTACCCCGCTTGGAACCAAAGGAGTGTTCTGGGGAAGTGTTCAGAAAGATGATAAATGATGTGGGTGGGGCAGCTATGAACCATTCTTCCTCCCCACCCCTCCAGTTCTCCAGGTACCTCGGGGGCTGCTGGGGGTCGTTTCGGCTGGTTGGAGGCAGGCGTCTGTGAAGCCGGCAGTGGCTGCGATTCCGGCGGCTGAGCGGTTGAGGCATCGGAACTGAGGGGACAGAATGGGAAGGTTATTCACACCTGAGATGCCTCCCTGACTTCTCCAACTGGTGGAGACTCAGGACTGAAATCATGCCCATTGCTACCATTTACAAATATAAGGACAAAATAATTTTGTCATCCTTTGTAGGCTGTTGTCTATTTTTTCATGCTCTCTCTCCAAGACAAAAAGCTAAAGTTTAGTACCATTCCTTAGTCATTTAACAAGGAACCTGCAACAGGTAAGAAAGGGACCTCTTCGTCTCTGGCTCAGACGTGGCTGGACTAAACCAAGCCCCAATGCTCCCTGAAGTTCAAGTTAAAATACCCATCACTCTAGGTCCCCCAAGCCTCTGTCTACCTCTTGGGGTCGGACTGCTCCTGTTTGCTTGCCCATCCTGTTCCGTCTTTTGGCACTAGTGAGACATTGGGGTCATTGCCTTTGTTCTCGGCTTTCAGGCTTGGAAGGTTGGCTGGAGGTGGCATACGCCGGGCAATGGCAACTTTCCCGAGACTCTGCAGGCCATGGCGAGGGGCAACTGGAGAACAAGACGGAGAGAGGGTCGAAAATGCCTCATGTGGGAGATCTGATGGCCTCCTATCCTGGGACACATTTATACATGTTGAATATTTTATTACCTACTTCCTCCAAACTTCTCTTAGAAGGGATTCCTTCCCCTGCCCTTAATAATCTCTGAAATCGCGCTGATTGTGGTGGCTCACACTTTGCAATCCCAGCACTTTGGCAGGCCGAGGCAGGCGGATCACCTGAGGTCAGGAGTTCAAGACCAGCTTGACCAAAATGGAGAAACCCTGTCTCTACTAAAAATACAAAATTAGCCGGGTGTGGTGGCGCATGCCTGTAATCCCAGCTACTCAGGAGGCTGAGGCAGGATAATCGCTTAAACCCAGGAGGTGGAGGTTGTGGTAAGTCAAGATCACACCATTGCACTCCAGCCTGGGCAACAGGAGCTAAACTTGGTCTCAAAAAAAAAAAAAAAAAAAAAAAAAATCTATGAAATCCCTATCAAGAAGGCTGAGATATGTAACATTCAATACTTTTATGTGAGATTGGTTGATCATGAGCCTGCAAGAAGCAAGCTGGCCTCAAAGTTTCCCAAATCCACATTTATTTTCCTCCAATTCTTACGTGTCCAAAGACAGGGAACCACAGACACGCCTTTGTAGGAGGATAACTGGTGTTCACCCAGAGCCCACACCCCCTTTAAAGGACCCAGTGTAAAGTTGGGAAATCTCCTCTAGTCTTTTGGTATTTCTACTACAGCCACTTCCCTTTAAAGAGCTCTAAAACGTATGCCCCATGCATGCCTAGCTTTCAACCATCAGAAGCATCTTTGCAGGACTCTCACCAGCGGGTTTCTGGATCTCTAAGGACTTGCCCTTATACGTATCAAACAGGTTGAGCGAGGAATACTTCTTTCCATCCTTTCCCTTGGCAGTCGGCCCCGAGCGATCGGACATTGCGCTGGAAGCTCATTGAGTATGTTGGGTCCTGCAGGCACCTCCCCCAAAACGTGCCAGAGCCTGTGGGCCAGACAGCAAGTGTCTCAGTCTCTGTCCCCTGTACAGACCATAACAGAAACTTAAAAACTCCATTGCATTATCATTAGGGACTCAGATATGAGGCCCTCTGGTGTCTTTTCCTCCAGTCTATGTAAACTGCCCACTCTTCTTAAGCAACCATGATCTACTTAGCTCCCTCATAGCTCAAATGCCATGTTCCCTCCTTTCCCCCAGACACCTTTGTCAAGGAAATCTAAGTAAAAATCCAGCATCCTCCTAGTATAAACACTCTGCCCTTTGTGCCTGTCTACAAAGAGTAATTCCCTACAAGTAATAATCTCTTCTCTCTCCACCAAAATCGTTTCAGAGACTTACAACAGGACAAATTCAAGCAAGAGAAAACTAAAAAAGAAGCATACAATTCCATCAGAGAAGAAGAAACAACACTTTAGATTCCCTGTTTATTGGACACAAGCTCCCTAATCATGCCCCCAGGGCCCTGTACCCCAGGCTCCCAGCCCAGCAGCCTCGTGTCCATCTGGGAAGGTTTGCAGGAAGGTATGCTGGGAGTTTAAGGATTTTATGAGCTTGCTCAGCCGGAATGGGGGTTGGTACCAGAGAAATCCTCATAGAACAACTAGGGCTGTACATACTCCCAGGCTATAGGAACCTCAAGTATTTGAAATATCCCATCTTTTCCTAAACTTGCTCCTGTATTGGCTCCTGGAAAAAATCGCCTCCAGATGAAATACTGTTTTACCATATGAAGAACTGAGAAAAAGCATTATGGAGCCACCTTAGCACCCTGTAACCATGGGCCAGAAAACAGAGGGCCAAGGCCAGAGCCATCTTCGTTTTCCTATCCTCATTAAAAATGTCCATCACCAGTGTTTCTTTACTCGATACCTCCAGCTCCCTAAGCAAGCCGGACGACAGGTCTCTCAGTCCATTCCAGAGTGACCAGGCATTCGTTTATGGACGGGAACAGTGTAAAGAGATGAGAAATAGTGGGGAAGAAAGCAGGGAAATCCAGACAGGCCCAGAATGAAAGCTAAAATTGGGGAGAAAGAACTTTATGACAAGCTAGAGATAAGATGGATGTTGCTTCGTAGGTGTTTGAGGAGGCCAATCTGTGAAGATAAATATATGAAGGGAAAACGAATACAAGAGTCATGTAGCGAATAGACCAAAACTAACAGAAAATAATGAATACGAAAGCAGGTGGAAAATATATGGAAACAGGAATGGCAAAAAAAAAAACGATGTAGACAACGAAGTAAGGGGGCAGAGGCCCAAGAAGAAAAACGGGGTTGGGGGAGAAAGGAGACGAGGAACAGGAAAAATGAAAAAGCAGACATAGGGCGACTGAGCAACATAGAAAGCAAAGATGCTGGGATAAAAGCAGGATTCTAGAGTGGGAGTGGCTCGACACGAAGAGGGGCGTCCAGAGGGGGGAACACAGCGCTGGATGATAGGAGGGGGTCCAATATGGAGGAAAAGCGCCCTTCCGAGAGAACCGTCGGGCGCGGCCCACCACGGGGCGGCAGCCGGGGAGGGGGCCCACAAATGGGGGTGAAAAGCCAGGAGCGCAGCGGAGGGTAGGGAGTTACGGACCCAGGCGCAGGGGTCACCCCCTGAAGCCAAGACGGTGGGTGGTTAGGGGCAGACTACGGATCCTGAATGAACTGCCGGAGGTGCGGGTCCCGGAGTAGAGGTACCGGAGGGGGAGGGGCAAGCAGGCCCGGCAGCAGGAGGACAAAATGGCGGCGGCTAATGGCAGCTTCTCCTCCCCCCGGCCCACCACCGCCGCCGCCGCCGCCACCGCCACCGCCACCACCTCTCCCGCGCCGGAAAAGGGCGTCAGCGCACGGTTCACCCAGACTCACCTGGCCGGGTGCGCGGGGATCCGGGACCCGGGCCTAGGGGCTCCCCGGGACGGGATGGCGGTGGGGCGGGGGAGGATGGCGGCGGATGGCGCCGGGTTCGGCTCCTCCCGTCTCCCTCGCTCACTCCGCGGCTGAGCCCCGACTAACGGCCCATCCGGGCAACCGCCGCCCCCGGGAGCACCCCCTCCCACCTCCCACCTCCCTCCGCGCCTAGACACGCCCCTTAATTTGCATAAAGGGCGGGGCACTTTCTACCCTAACCCTCTACTTCCAGGGCTGTCTTTAGTTTAAAAAAAAAAAAAAAAAGGGCCGGGCGCGCGGAGCATGCGGAGGTTATTTGCATAAAGAGGAGGGACTTAAGGGCACTAGGACCCCGATTGGCTAAGGAGGCGGGCCCCCAGCGTCGGCCGTTGAGCCGTGTTGAGGGGGCGGGAATGCGGTGCAGGTCGGCTGGGCGGTTGGGACGCAGAATTTACACGACGAATGTGGGAGAAAGAGGCGGAGCGTGCGTCGGACGTTAGTAGAAAGATGGGAGCGGAGAGACGTTGGGACGCCAAAAGTGGAAGGCAACGACACACGGCCCGTGGCGCCTTCAGCTAGGGAGAAAGAGAGAGAGGACGGGGGCTGGCGGGCGGGATTAGCTGCCGGAGGGCTGAGTTTCCGCAGGCCTGGTAAGAGTTCCAGCTCTCGCATCCCTTTGCCGTGAGTTTGAGGAGGTGGTTGGAGCGGGGAAATGCACCAGAGGGGCGGGGCCTTCCAGTTATTATATTACGTCATGCAAATGAGGTGGCTAGACAGACCAATCCAAAGGCCCCGGGAAGCGTTTCGTCCGCACCACGCAGCGTAGGCATTCTTCGGGCAGTTCTACCTATTTGCATAATGTATGCAAATCATTTGAACAAAGATAGGCTAGGAATGACTCGTTCATCAAAATATGGGCAACCATCGACTAAGACGGACATTTAATTTTATAACCTATAATTTTCATGAATAAATTTTTATATTTGAAATTATTGGGAATTTGTAATTTCTTAACAATGGGTTTCATTTTGTGAAATGCAGTACTGTTACCCTCCTTTGTCTCTTACTACCCGATTCTAGAACTCTCTGCTCCCATCAGAGTTATACCCATTCAACAGATCATTCAATGACTATGATTTGAAGGCGCTGGAGATAATGCACAGGATATTATAGAAGTAGAGAAATAAGGCCTGGCGCGGTGGCTCACGCCTGTAATCCCAGCACTTTGGGAGGCCTAGGCAGGTGGATCACGAGATCAGGAGTTCAAGACCAGCCTGGCCAACATGATGAAACCCCATTTCTACTAAAAATACAAAAATTTGCCCTACGTGGTGGCGGGCGCCTGTAATCCCAACTACTCGGGAAGCTGAGGCAGAGAATTCCTTGAACCAGGGAGGCGGAGGTTGCACTCCAGCCTGGGTGACAGAGCAAGACTACGTCTCAAAAAAAAAAAAAAAAAAAAAAAAAGAAGGATGGGCGCGGTGGCTCACGCCTGTAATCCCAGCACTTTGGGAGGCTCAGGCGGGCGGGTCACCTGAGGTCACGAGTTCGAGACCAGCCTGACCAACATGGAGAAACCCCGTCTCTACTAAAAATACAATTACCCAGGCGTGGTGGCGCATGCCTATGATCCCAGCTACTCGGGAGGCTGAGTCGGGAGAATCGCTTGAACCTGGGAGGCGGAGGTTGTGGTGAGCCAAGATCGTGCCATTGCACTCCAGCCTGGGCAACAAGAGCGAAACTCTATCTCAAAAAAAAAAAAAAAAGAAAGAAGTAGAGAAATAAAATATGATTATGCCTGGGGTGATTGAGAAATGTTTCTAGAAAAACTCTTATTAAGAGATATGAGGCCGGGCGTGGTGGCTTATGCCTGTAGTCCTGGCACTTTGGGAGGCTGAGGCGGGCAGATCACAAGGTCAAGAAATGGAGACCATCCTGGCCAACATGGCAAAACCCCGTCTCTACTAAAAATACAAAAATTAGCTGGACTGGTGGCGCGTGCCTGTAGTCTCAGCTACTTGGGAGGCTGAGGCAGGAGAATCGCTTGAACCTGGGAGACGGAGGTTGCAGTGAGCTGAGATCACGCCACTGCACTCCAGCCTAGCGACAGAGTGAGACTACGTCTCAAAAAAAAAAAAAAAAGAAAAAGAAAAAAAAAAGGGCCGGGAGCGGGAGCAGTGGCTCACGCCTGTAATCCCAGCACTTTGAGAGGCCAAGGTGGGTGGGTCACCTGAGGTCAGGAGTTGGAGACCAGCCTGGCCAACATGAGACTCCATCTCAGGAAAAAAAAAAAAAAATGATATGAAGAATGATCGGAGTAGATATCTGTCAAAAATATATAAATAAATAGATATGAAGAACGAGTTAGAACTTACCCAAGTTTCAGAAGAAGGTGTACATCTCAGGTGCAGAGAACAGATTAGTGGAGGCATGAGTTTGGGGGCCTGTGCCTAGGCTGATATGGCTAAATAAAGGAGGCGGCTTATTCATTATGAAAAGTGAAGGCAGAAAAGTTTGCAGAAATCAGATGAGAATTTTAGTCAGAGGCTCAGTAAGATTTAAGATGACTTCTGTTTTCAAACTTCCAAAATGATTCTCTTCTCCCTTCTCCCCGGCCGGCTACCACACATACCGTTTTGTTACCCTTTGCAGCAAAATTCTTAAAAGGGATGTCCATAGTCATTGTCTCCAATGAGTTTCTCCTTCCAGTCTTTTTTTTTTTTTTTTTTTTTTTTTTGAGACAGAGTCTCACTCTTGTCACCCAGGCTGGAGTGCCATGGCGTGATCTCGGCTCACCGCAACCTCCACCTCCCGGGTTCAAGCGATTCTCCTGCCTCAGTCTCCCGAGTAGCTGGGATTACAGGCACCTGCCACCATGCCCAGCTAATTTTTTGTATTTTAGTAGAGATGGGGTTTCACCATGTTGGCCAGGCTGGTCTCCAACTCCTGATTTCAGGTAATCTGCCCGCTTCGGCCTCCTGAAGTGCTGGGATTACAGGCGTGAGCCACCACGCCCAGCTGTAAATTCTTTGCTTTATTTAATAGCACCAGTTCTTTCATTCATCTACCCATTCAAGTGTTTTTTGTTTGTTTGTATGTTCGGTTTTTTTTTTTTTGAGACGGAGTTCGCTTTTTAGTTGCCCAGGCTGGAGTGCAATGATGCGATCTCGGATCACCACAACCTCCACCTCCTGGGTTCAAGAGATTCTCCTGCCTCAGCTTCCCAAGTAGCTGGGATTACAGGCATGCGCCACCACACCAGGCTAATTTTGTATTTTTAGTAGAGACGGGGTTTCTTCATGTTCGTCAGGCTGGTCTCGAACTCCTGACCTCAGGTGATCTGCCCACCCCATCCTCCCAAAGTGCTGGGATTACAGGCATAAGCCATCGGCCCCGGCTCATTCAAGTTTTAAACATTATTGAGGGCTTATGATATGTCAGGCACAATAGCATAGGTCACTTTATCCCCATTTTTAGAAAAAAGCCTCACAGAGGCTGAGTGATTTGTCAAAGTGACAAAGCTTATAGTGGTGGAGAATGTTGGTTCATGGTATTCCTTGCTCTTCATGAAATCTGTCATGGGCCTGAGTACCTTGTTTGGACATGTGTTTTTGTCCTGCCTGCATTCTTTGAGGTTAAGGCTGTCTTACACAGCTGGAATCCCCCTTGGTGCGTGAAACCATCTGCTGTAGTGGACACACTATAGCGTTGTTGATGGATTGTTCATATGGCCAAATCCTTGCCACCTTTCCCTCAAGACCTGTCTCTCCTTCCCAAACCCAGGAAAAAAATCACCCAAATAAAAACTAAGCTGACTTGATCTGGAGGAGGGGGTAATTTATTTAATTTGTTGACTCTGGCTTACAATTTTGTCTTCTGTTTCCATATCTGGGTCATTAGAAGCCCCTTCAATCCCATCATCCCTTTTCCCTTCAAATCAGGGCAACTCAGAGATAGCTTTCTTGGCTGGGGGGCCTGTTGGCTTTTCCTTTTCTCTCGCTTTTTCCTCATACATCAGGATCCTGGTTGAGATGGGAAGAGGCACAGGGATCAGGGAACACTCCTCTCAAGGGAATAAATCATAGGGTGCTAGGAAAGGCTAGAAGGGGATGGGGATGTGAGGGTGGAAGGGGGAAGAGGAAGGGCAGGGGTTGGAGTTTCTGGGGACCAGGACTATGGATAGGGATGGGGTCGGGACCTTGGAAGGGTCCCTCTAAGGATGGAAGAAGGGATGATGGGCAACGTGTAGAAATGTTGAGCCTGTGGACAAGGGTAGGGATGGGGGAGGAGAAAACAGGTAAGTACAGGGGAGGTTGGAAATTGACACTCACATTTTTAGGATGGCAGATCTCTTGCCCAGCATCATCCTGAGAAAGTCAGGGTAGCTGAACGTCTCCCCGGAGCCACTGGACACCTCTCCAATTAATTTCTTTAGCTCTAGGTGAGTCTTGGGGACTCCAAGTTTCTCCAGCATTCGTTTCAGGGACATGATATCTGGGGGCAGAGGATGGGGATGGGGAGAAGGTGGGGAGACCCTCTCTCTCCTCTCCCACTTCCGCATCCCCATTCTCCTTCCTCCCACTGTGGTAGGTGGGCCCCCTCCCAAATCATGAGGAATGGAGCATGTAGGAGAGACCTCTGTCTTCTTAGGCCTGCACACCACCCTGCCCCCGCAAATCACCCGTTTCTCACCAATATCGCCATTTCCATTAAGGTCAAACTCCATGTATTTCTCTGGGTGAGGGGAGAGAGCAGAAGGGATAAGCGCTGACTGGAGGGTTTTCAGCAGGGGACTGAGGAAGGGGTTGCCAACCAACTGCTAGGTGGAGGAGACAACGTGGAAGGAGGAGGAGGGGCAGGCAGAGGAAGTGGGGTTGGGGAGTTGAGGGGCCCCGCTAGGGTGTAAGGAGCTAGAGGGGATGCTGAGAGAGGCAGGCCCGGGAAAGGGACCGCAGTGTGGCAGGAGGGCAATAAAGGCAGGTTCCCCTTTTGCTACCACAAAAGTAAACTTTTTATCTCTGCTGTTCCTGCCTTGTTCTTGTGGAAATCCTAACCCTCCTACCCCCAGCCCTGTCTCCACCGCCTACAGTTTCCCCCTCACCTTTGAAGCCTTCCAGTTTGGAGGGCAGATCCTCATCACTGCTATATTTGGGATCGTCTAGGAATTGCTATGGAGGGGAAAATAAGAGCCAGGGTAGGCCCTCCCCATCCACGCCCCATCCCCCTGGCTCTGCCCCCTTAGTTCTTCCTTCTACCTTGTTGATCTCATCCAGCCTCTCTTCCTGCTGGGCCTTCAGCAGTCCGAAAGCTTTTCCTCCTGTGGGGTGAAAAAAATTAATCAGCCCTCATCCCTCCCTTCCTCTCCTTACCCTGACACCAGCCCGGGCTACCCTAGGCCAGCTGACTGCCCTCCTAGCCCACAGCCCAGGTCTGTCCATCTCATTCCTCCGATCTAATGCCGCTGCCTATCCCACCCTCCCTACCCTGTAAATCCCTGGTTTGGCTCATAGCTCAGCAGATGCTGGTAGAGGTGGGGAGACAGACCAAGCTGGAGGCCTCTGTCTGCAGGCTCTCCTTCTCTCCCACCAGTCTTCTCAGAAGCCTTCCTCCCAAACTTCCCCTTTCCCCTCATTCCTTCCTCCTCTGCCTCCCAGACCTCACTTCCCCATCAGGTTCTGCTGACACTAGCACCCCAGGAAGGAGGGGGAGCCTGGTGTGAAATGCAGATTAGAAAATAACATTCTCCCAAATTCCTCTTAAATGAGAGCCCAGTGTGCGCATGAAACAAATATTTTGATAAGCCACTGGAGGTGTGCAGGAAGGGCAGGAAGACACCAGGGATATTTATTCTCAGGAACTAGTATTTTTGAACAGGTCCAAGGTTCAGGTAATGATAAGACCTTGCATTTTGTCAGGTTTCATGAGTCTGGGCAGGCAGCTGTGGATAGGAAGACAAGGAAGGGCTGGCTGAATTTTTCTGCTCTGTAGATCGGAGAAGAATCTGAAGTCTGCTGGCAGCTCCAGGAGGGTGACAAGATGGGCACAGGGTTTAGAAAGGGAGAGAAACCTCACTCCCAGCCTGGCAGCTCCAAGGAGGCCCTTAAAAATATGGAAATGTCTAACAAAACATTTTAATTTGTTTGCTTTAGAATGTGCAACGTAACCCTCTCATCTTATCTCCTTTGAAATCTTTAGTAAAATCTATAGAGATCAGGAATTTAAGAGTTTAAGTAGATTCTTTGGAGGAACTGAAAGTGGTACTTAAAGAAACAGCGTTTGTGGACAGAAGAGCCAGGGAGTGAGGCTGACATCAGGTTTGCACACTGCGCGTGCGTGCACACATGCAGGCATGTTTGTGTGATGGTGGTGCTGGTCACTGTGGGTTCAACAGAGTGGATGATAGCCTCTGACACATGCCTCCCTAGGCATAACCTTTATCCCCTCTGTCACTCTGTTTGGCCAGTCGCTTCTTGGAGAGGTGAGGACAGCACATTTCCCTCATTGAGATTTCCTGGTCCAAACTCCCTGCCCAGGGCTCCATCTACCCTGCCCCGGCATTGATGAAGACACCTTTCCTTCTCCCTTCCCCGCAACATATTTCCTTTTCTGTAGCTGGGAGTTTTCACTTCTCACTGCCCTCTCCCTGACCCAAGCCAGGTAGGGGAGATGCTGGAGTGGCCTCTGGCTGCTGCTGCTGCTTTTTTTTTTTTTTTGAGTCGGAGTCTTGCTCTGTCGCCCAGGCGGGAGTGCAATGGTGCAATCTCGGCTCACTGCAACCACTGCCTCCTGGGTTCAAGCAATTCTCCTACCTCAGCCTCCTGAGTAGCTGGGACTACAGGCGCCCACCACCACGCCCAGCTAATTTTTGTATTTTTAGTACAGATGGGGTTTCGCCATGTTGGCCAGGATGGTCTCTATCTCTTGACCTTGTGATCCACCCACCTCAGCCTCCCAAAGTGCTGGGATTACAGGCATGAGCCACTGCACCTGGCTGGACTCTGGCTTCTTGACTTCCCTTTATTGCAGCTACATTCTCCTGCTGCAGAGAGAGCTGCAACCCTGTACTCCCAATGTTCTCAGTGCCTGCTGGGAGGAACTCACTTCTTTATTCATACGTTCACTCAACAGATATTTACTGAATGCTTACTATATGCCAGACATGCCTCTAGGCCCAGAGAACCCAACAAATGAAAACTCTTGTCTTCATGGTTGATCTAATTGGGGAAGGCAGACAATACAAATAAATAAGTATATTAAAGGTGCTAGGTGGCCAGGCGCAGTGGCTCACGCCTGTAATCACAGCACTTTGGGAGGCTGGGGCAGGCGGATCACAAGGTCAGGAGTTGGAGACCAGCCTGACCAACATGGTGAAACCCCATCTCTACTAAAAATACAAAAATTAGCAGGGCCTGGTGGTGCGTGCCTGTAATCCCAGCTGCTCAGGAGGCTGACGCAGGCGAATCGCTTAAACCCGGGAGGCAGAGGTTGCAGTGAGCTGAGATCGCGCCATTGCACTCCAGCCTGGGCAACAGAGTGAGACTCCGTCTCAAAAAAAAAAAAAAAAAAAAAAAAAAGGCGCCAGGTGCCTATGGAGGAAAACAAAGTAGGGAAGAGGGGACATAGGAGTATTATTGCCAATGGTCCCCAGTTTTTTGTTTTTTGTTTTTTGTTTTTTTTTTAAACGGAGTCTCACTCTGTCGCCCAGGCTAGAGTGCAATGGCTTGATCTCAGCTCACTGTAACCTCCGCCTCCTGGGTTCAAGCGATTCTCCTGCCTCAGCCTTCCGAGTAGCTGGGATTACAGCCACCTGCCATCATACCTAGCTAATTTTTGTATTTTTGTAGAGGCGGGGTTTCACCATGTTGACCAGGCTGGTCTTGAACTCCTGACCTTAGGTGATCTACCCACCTCGGACTCCCAAAGTGCTAGGATTACAGGCGTGAGCCACTGCACCCAGCTTTTTTTGTTGAGACAGAATCTCGCTCTGTTGCCCAGGCTGGAGTGCAGTGGCACAATCTCAGCTCACTGCAACCTCTGCCTCCCGGGTTCAAGCGATTCTCCTGCCTCAGCCTAACGAATAGCTGGGATTACAGGCGATCACCACTATACCCGGCTAATTTTTGTATTTTTAGTAGAGATGGGGTTTCACCAAGTTGGCCAGGCTGGTCTTGAACTCCTAACCTTGTGATCCTCCCACCTTGGCCTCCCAAAGTGCTGGGATTACAGGTGTGAGCCTGACTTGTCCCCAGTTTTAAATATGGTGGTCTGGCCAGACACGGTGGCTTACGCCTGTGGTCCTAGCCACTTGGGAGGCTGAAGTGAGAGGATCGCTTGAGCCCAGGAGATCAAGGCTGCAGTGAGCCATGACCGTGCCATTACACTCCAGTCTGGGCAACAGAGTGAGACCCTGTCTCAAAAAATACAATAAAATAATAAAATAAATAGAGTGGTTAGAGAAGCGTTCTCTGAAAAAGTGATATTTGAGCAAAGATTTCTTTTCTTTTTTTTGAGATGGAGTCTCACTCTGTCACTCAGGCTAGAGTGCAGTGGTGCAATCTCCACTCACTGCAACCTCCACCTCCCGGGTTCAAGTGATTCTCCTGCCTCAGCCTCCAGAGTAGCTGGGATTACAGGCACCTGCCACCACGCCCAGCTGGCTAATTTTTTGTATTTTTAGTGAGACGGGGTTTTACTATGTTGGCCAGGCTGGTCTTGAACTCCTGATCTCATGATTCGCCCACCTCGCCCTCCCAAAGTGCTGGGATTACAGGTGTGAGCCACCACGCCTGGCCGTTTGATCAAAGATTTTAAGCAAGCAAAGGAACAAGCCTCTGTCTTCCTAGGCCTGCACACTTCCCCAAATCACCTTTTTTCACTGATATCTCTGTTTCCATTCTGGTCAAACTTTATGTATTTCTTTGGGTAAAGAGAGAGAACAGACAGGGTAAGCACTGGCTAGAGGGTCTTTGGCAGAGGATCGAGGAAGGCATTGCCAACCAAGTGCTAGGTTGAGGAGAGGATGTGGAAGGAGGAGATGGGGCAGGCAGAGTGGGCTTGGGGAGTTGAGGGACCATGTAAGGTGGATATACGGCTAGAAAGAAAAATACTTATTTTTTTTTTTTTGAGACAGAGTCTCCATCTGTCGCTAGACTGGAGTGCAGTGGCACGATCTTGGCTCACTTCAACCTCCACATCCTGGGTTCAAGCGACTCTCCTGCCTCAGCCTCCCAAGTAGCTGGGACTACAGGTGCGCACCACCATGTTCAACTAATTTTTGTAATTTTAGTGGAGACGAGGTTTCACCATGTTGGCCAAGATGGTCTCGATCTCTTGACCTTGTGATCCACCCACCTTGGCCTCCCAAAGTACTGAGATTATAGATGTGAGCCACTGCGCCTAGCCAGAAAAATATTTATTGATCCTAAAGTGGAGTCAGCGCCACTGTTGCTGCTAGTGTTGAATCCAGAACCATAGCTGGACATGGGATCAGAGGATGAACAAGAGATGCTGACTGGGCCTAGAGATGGCAAGGAGGAGGAGGAAGAGGAAGAGGAGGAATTAGTCAATTCCTAACAAAAGCGAGAGAGCAGTGCGTGCAGCTGAAGAAAGGAGTAAAGTCTCGGAGCAGCTGGAGCTCTGTGATGAGCACGTGTCTTCCAGATCACAGACAGGAGAGGATTGCACAAAGCTCTTTGACTTCTCTAATGCAAGGGACCATTGCATGGCCCACAAATCCTTTAACAGTTTGAAATGAATGTGCAGACTCCTTCACCCCAGCTTTCATCACCTGGGCATTTCTCTATGGTTTTAAATATAACATTTGTTTCTAATTTGTGTAACTATAAGTCCATGTGAACCTCATGGATTTTTGGCTTAGGCAAATAGCTTCTCTGTAATTGGCAGCAATTCCATCTTAATAAGGGAACTGTGATTTGCAAAACGAAAAAATATACTGTTTTTTTCTTTTTCCTTTTTTTTATTCAAGGGCTAGTGAATCTTGGGATCTCAGGGTTACATCGAGGTATATTTATCATCATCATTATAGTCCAGGACTAAAAGGAAGTTATTCCAGGCTCTTTGCAAAGAATCTCAGTTTTTTTTGTTTGTTTGTTTTATTTTGTTTTGAGATGGAGTCTTGCTCTGTTGGCCAGGCTGGAGTGCAGTGGTGCAGTCTCTGCTCACTGCAACCTCCACCTCCCAGGTTCAAGTGATTCTCCTGCCTCAGCCTCCCGAGTAGCTGGGACTACAGGCACCCGCCACCATGCCTGGCTAATTTTTTGTATTTTTAGTAGAGACAGGGTTTCACCATGTTAGCCAGGATGGTCTCAATCTCCTGACCTCATGATCGGCCCGCCTCGGCCTCCCAAAGTGCTGGGATTACAGGCGTGAGCCACTGCGCCTGGCCAAGAACACCACTTCTTACACCAATCATGTGGAGACTTCTCCCACACCAATCAATTCTTCAGTTCTTGGTAGATATTAACTGGGAGTCCTGCAGTTTAATTCAGTTCTGACACTCTACCCATAATTACCAGTTATCTAATCCCCAAGTTGAAGGGCTCAGTTCTACAAGGCTGCCCCCACTCCAGATACCAATCACAAACAAGTCCAGGCCTCCTAACTGTTTTTATGACTCCCTCTTCTGGCTCAGTAATTCGCTGGAATAGCACGCAGAACTCAGGTAAACACTTTACTTATGTTAGCTAGTTTATTATGAAGGATAAAACTTAGGAACAGTCAGATGGAAGAGTTGCTCCGGACAAAGTATCGGGGAAGGGGGATTTGGAGCTTTCTTGTCCTCTCTGGGCACCTCCCTGCACCTCCATGTGTTCATCAACCTGGCAGCTCTCCAACCCTCATCTTTTTTGTTTTTTTTTATGGAGGCTTCATTATGCAGGCATACTTGATTCAATAGCCATTAGTTGGAGGTCAGAGGGTTGGAGCTAAAAGTTCTAACTCTCTAATCACACAGTTGCCTACCTTGGCAACAAACCCCAACCTTAGGGGCTTTCTAAAAGTCAACTTACTAACATAAACTCAGTTGTGGTTGAAAAGAGCTTGTTATGAATAACAAAAGCTCCCTTCACTTTATCATTTAGGAAATTACAAGGGCTTTAGGAGGTCTGGCCAGGAGCCAGGATGGAGACCAAAACACACACACACACACACACACACACGCACGCACACACACATTAATATTTTGAGACAGGGAGACAGGGTCTCGTTCTGTTATCCAGGCTGGAGTGCAGTGGCACAAACATGGCTACTGCAGCTTTGACCTCCCAGGCTCAAGCGATCCTCCCTTGTCAGCCTCCTGAGTAACTGGGACTACAGGCATGTGCCACCACACCTGGCTAATTTTTAAAATTTTTTTTAGAGACAGGGTCTCCTTGTGTTGCCCAGGCTGGTCTTGACTGCCTGGGCTCAAGTAATCCTCCCACCTTGGCCTCCCAAAGTGCTGGGATTACAGGCCTGAGCCACCGTGCCTGACCTTTTTTTTTTTTTTATTTTTTTTTTTTTGAGACAGTTTCTTGTTCTGTCATCCAGGTTGGAGTGCAGTGGCACCATCATAGCTCACTGCAGCCTCAACTTCTTGGGCTCAAGCAATCCTTCCATCTCAGCCTCCCAAGCAGCTGGGACCCGCACCACCATGCCTGGCTCATTTTAAAATTTTTTGTAGAGATGAAGTCTCGCCAGGTTGCCCAGGCTGGTCTTGAACTCCTGGGCTCAAGTGATCCTCTGGTCTCAGCCTTCTAGAGTGCTGGGATTACATGTGTTAACCACCACACCCAACCCATATATATACATATTTATTTATTTTTTCCCCGAGATGGAGTCTTGCTCTGTTGCCCAGGTTAGAGTGCAGTGGCGCGATCTCCGCTCACTGCAAGCTCCACCTCCCAGGTTCACGCCATTCTCCTGCCTCAGCCTCCTGAGTAGCTGGGACTACAGGCGCCTGCCACCACGCCCGGCTAATTTTTTGTGTTTTTAGTAGAGACGGGGTTTCACCATGTTAGCCAGGATGGTCTCGATCTCCTGACCTTGTGATCTGACCGCCTTGGCCTCCCAAAGTGTTGGGATTACAGGTATGAGCCACCGCGCCTGGCCTTTTTTTTTGTGGGGGGATGGAGTCTCGCTCTGTCGCCCAGGCTGGAGTGCAGTGGCGATCTCGGCTCACTGCAAGCTCCGCCTCCTGGTTTCACGCCATTCTCCTGCCTCAGCCTCCCGAGTAGCTGGGACTACAGGTGCCTGCCCCCACACCCGGCTAATTTTTTTTTGTATTTTTAGTAGAGACGAGGTTTCACCATGTTAGCCAGGATGGTCTTGATCTCCTGACCTCGTGATCTGCCCCCCTCGGCCTCCCAAAGTGCTGGGATTACAGGTGTGAGCCACCACACCCGGGCCCAAAAATATATATTTTTATTATAACAATATCACAATGGGAGAAGAACATTTCAGGTGGAGGGAACAGCAAGTTCAAAGGCCCTGATGTGAGAGCAGTGTGGATATCTGGAGTGTTCATGGAGTAGCAGGGAGGCCTGTGCTGCTGAAGCCAGGTGAGGAGGAGGTCAGCTTGGGTAGGGCCTTGTAAAGACTCTGGCTTTTATTCTGAGTGAGACTGCCTCCCAGACTGGTCTTTCCATTGAGAATGGCTTGACAGACTACTGGGGTGAGACAGTGCTTAGATGCTCAGAAAAACTGCCTGGGATAGAGAGAATGACAGCTGCTCTGACTGTGGGACAAAAATGAAGACTAGGCCTGGCGCGGTGGCTCACTCCTGTAATCCCAGCACTTTGGGAGGCCGAGGCAGGCAGATCACCTGAGGTCAGGAGTTTGAGATCAGCCCGACAAACATGGAGAAACCCCGTTTCTACTAAATGTACAAAATTAGCCAGGCATGGTGGCGCATGCCTGTAATCCCAGCTACTTGGGTGGCTGAGGCAGGAGAATCGCTTGAACCTGGGAGGTGGAGATTGCAGTGAGCCGAGATCACGCCATTGCACTCCAGCCTGGGCAATAAGCGAAACTCCATCCCCCCCACCAAAAAAAGTGAATACTGAAGGGTATATAGGAAGACAAGCGGGTGGAGAAGGAAACTCAGGGCCTTCTGAGAAGGAAACAGAGATGAGGGGAAAAGAATAGACATGCAAGAAGATGCTGGGGCTCAGAAAGTGATACCCCAAAGACTGGTGCTTTGAAATGCTGAGAGGCCTTAGAAGCTGCCTTAGAATTGTCCTACCACACTTTCTGGAATTTCCTTATCTGACTGAAAAAACTTCTTTGCAAAAGAAGTGCAATTGTCTTAAGACCTCCTGCCTAGAGATCTTATCAAATGACCAGATCAACCACCAGAGAGAAGATATTAGGAGTCATCATCATACCCAGATAGACTTTTCTTCTCTTTCTTTTCTTCCTTTTGAGTCAGCGTCTTGTTCTGTTGCCCAGCCTGGAGTGCAGTGGCATGGTCATGGCTCACTGCAGCCTCAACCTCCAGGCTCAAGTGATCCTCCCACCCTAGCCTCCTGAGTAGCTGGGACGACAGGCATGTGCCACCACGCCTTAGGTTTTTTTTTTTTTTTTTTTTGAGATGGAGTCTCTCTCTGTCACCCAGGCTGGAGTGCAGTGACATGATCTCAGCTCACTGCAACCTCCTCCTCCTGGGTTCAAGCAATTCTCCTGCCTCAGCCTCCGGAGTAGCTGGGGTTACAGGCGCCCGCCACCACGCCCAGCTAAGTTTTGTATTTTTTAGGAGAGAAGGAGTTTCATCATGTTGGCTCTGGCTGATCTCGAACTCCTGACCTCAGGTGATCCACCTGCCTTGCCCTCCTAAAGTGCTGGGATTACAGACATGAGCCACTGCACCCAGCCATGGTGACTAATTATCTTTTTTTTTTTTTTTTTGAGACAGAGTCTCACACTGTCGCCCGGGCTGGTGTGCAGTAGCGCGATCTCGGCTCACTGCAACCTCCACCTTCCGGATTCAAGTGATACCCCTGCCTCAGCCTCCCAAGTAGCTAGGATTGCAGGCACCCGCCACCACGTCCAGCAATTTTTTTTTTTTTTTGAGACGGAGTCTCGCTCTGTCGCCCAGGCTGGTGTGCAGTGACAGGATCTCAGCTTACTGCAAGCTCCACTTCCTGGGTTCATGCCATTATTTTTTTGTATTTTTAGTAGAGATGGGGTTTCACTATGTTGCCCAGGCTGGTCTCAAACTCTTGACCTCGTGATCTGCCCACCTTGGCCTCCCAAAGTGCTGGGATTACAGGCGTGAGCCACAGTGCTGGTCTTTTTTTTTTTTTTTTTTTTTTTTTTTTTTTTAGATAGAGTCTTGCTTTGTCACCCAGGCTGGAGTGCAGTGGCATGATCTTGGCTCACTGCAACCTCTGCCTCATGGGTTCAAGAGATTCTCCCGCCTCAGCCTCCTGAGTAGCTGGGACTACAGATGCGCGCCACCAAGCCCAGCTAATTTTTTTGTATGTTTAGTAGAGACAGGGTTTTGCCATGTTGGCCAGGATGGTCTGGATTTCTTGACCTCGTGATCCGCCCTCCTCAGCCTCCCAAAGTGTCAGGATTACAGGCGTAAGTCACCGTGCCTGGCTTCTTTTTTTTTTTTTTTTTAAATATAGAGACAATGGATCATAATATAGAGACATTCTCATCCTAATGTTAGCACAACGGGGATGCAGATGGTCAGGATCTGGAGACTTGCAGGAATAGAGCAGTGAGCCAAAGTGCAGCCTGGTTTATGCTTAATTATAACTATATTTCTGCCCAGATCCCAGCATGCAATTCTTGTCAATCTTGGGACAGTTTCAATTTACTCTATTGAAAGTTTTTATTAATATTTTGATAACTGGAATTTGATTTCGATGCAATTTTTTTTTTTTGAGACGGAGTCTTGCTCTGTCACCCAGACTGGAGTGCAATGGCGTGATCTCGGCTCACTGCAACCTCCGCCTCCCGGTTCCAGCAATTCTCCTGCCTCAGCCTCCCAGGTAGTTAAGATTACAGGCGCCGACCACCATGCCTAGCTAATTTTTTGTTTTTAGTAGAGACAGGGTTTTGTCATGTTGGCCAGGCTGCTCTCGAACTCCTGACCTCGGGTGATCCACCTGCCTCGGCCTCCCAAAGTGTTGGGATTACAGGCGTGAGCCACTGCGCCTGGCCGATTTGTTTTTGTATGTATATTTTTTAAATTTTATGCTTTACTAGAATGCCAAAGGGATCTGTGGCACAAAATAACTAAGAACCACTGCTGTAACCTCTCTCTCCCCTCACCCCTTTGAGCCTGGGAGTGGAAATATCCCCTGCAGTTCTCTTACATAACACTCCCACCTTTGTGTGTGCGTGTGTTTTGTTTGTTTTGTTTTGTTTTTGGGATGGAGTCTCGCTCTGTCACCCAGGCTGGAGTGCAGTGAAGTGATGTCAGCTCAGTGCAACCTCCACCTCCCAGGTTCAAGCGATTCTCCTGCCTCAGCCTCCCTAGTAGCTGGGACTACAGATGCATGCCACCATGCCTGGCTAATTTTTTGTATTTTCAGTAGAGATGGGGCTTCACCGTGTTAGCCAGGATAGCCTTGACCTCCTGACCTCGTGATCCACCCTCCTCAGCCTCCCAAAGTGCTGCGATTACAGGCATGAGCCACCGCACCCGTTGTCTTTAATAATTTTTTTGCCTGCTTAATATATAGTTTCTGAGAGATGTGAGTCTTCCTCTAATATTGTAGGTTACTTTTCTGTCGCTGCTGCACAAATTTTTTTTTTTTTTTGAGATGGAGTCTCACTCTGTCGCCCAGACTGGAGTGCAGTGGCGTGATTTTGGCCCACTGCAACCTCTGCCTCCTGGGTTCAAGCGATTCTTCTCTTGAGTAGCTGGGATTACAGGTGCATGCTACCACGCCTGGCTACTTTTTGTATTTTTAGTAGAGACGGAGTTTCACCATATTGGTCAGGCTGGTCTCGAACTCCTGACCTCGTGATCCACCCTCCTCGGCCTCCCAAAGTGTTGGGATTACAAGCGGTAGCCACTGTGCCTGGCCTAAACTTTTTTTTTTTAAGCATCCTTGTGCAGAGACTCCAAGGGCAAACAAGAGTAGTGCCAACCAGCCTGGCAGAGCTGAGGCAGGCCTGAACTCTGGCCCCTAGAGGGAAGAGGTGACTAGTCACTAGCCTTCCTTCATTCTCTCACCCAGAGAGAAATGGGGAAGGAAGAGAAATGGAGTAAAAGAATAAGGTATGTAGATGGGGAGAGATGGGAAGGGAAAACATGGAGAATGATGGGGAGGCAGAAAGCGATGCGAAGAGAGATGGAGGAAGACAGAGAGAGAGAAAGACGGAGAGGCAGACCAGACACGGCAGCTCACACCTGTAATCCCAGCACTTTGGGAGGCTGAGGCAGGTGGATCACTTGAGGCCAGGAGTTCAAGACCAGCCTGGCCAACATGGCAAAACCCCATCTCTACTAAAAATACAAAAATTAGCCAGGGGTGGTGGCATGTGCCTGTAATCCCAGCTACTCTGGAGGCTGGGGCAGGAGAATCATTTGAACCTGGGAGGTGGAGGTTACAGTGAGCTGAGAGCGCAAAAAAAAAAAAAAAGAAAAAAAATAGAATGTCTCACGTGGAAGGTGCTCGCTGAATATTTGTTGAATGAGTGAATAAGCAGAAGTGTGTATGCATGTGACAGAGAGGCAGAGGGGTAGGGGTGTGTAGAGATGTGGCGTTTGAGTGGACACGGGGGAAGAAACAAGTAATATGAATAACATGGTGAGACAGAAAGAGTTGTGGACAGAGCTGTGGGAAATATGAGAGATAAGGAGAGAGATACTGAAAAGAGCGATTAAGAGAGATGAAGATAGGGTGTCTGGCCCATGGAAGGCCCTCGTGAAGAGCAATGCTGAATAGATGAATGAACCTCAATGCCCAGCAGTGGTGGGATGAAGGGGATGCTGTGCAGAAACCACACTACCCATCAGAGAAGCAACTCTGCTCGTTTCCCCTTGAGTTGATGAGGGATTTAGCAACCAGTGGAATGAAGAGCAAGGGAAAGACACCTGCGATCTTTCAGAAGCAAAATGGACAGGGCCTGGAGATCTTTTGGATGGGGGAACTGAGGGAGAAGGCAGAGTAGGATGAATCCCAGGTGTTTGCCTTAAGTGACTGGGGCTTTGTGTTTCCATTCACTGGGACAGGGATGACAGGAGGCTGACCTGGTCTGAGTGGACACTGATGACTTTGAAATGCCTGTGGAGTATTCAGGGTAAGCCGCCTAGAGAGCAGTTAGATAGTGTGGACTTAGGTCTCAAGAAAGAGGCCTGAGGGGGAGATGTAGATTGGGGACTTGACAGAGAATAAGCAGTAGTGACAACTGTGGCTATGACAGGATTGCCTAGGAAAGCCATGGTAGATGCGCAAAATTTATTGAATGAAAGTGGGAAGCCAGGTGCATGCCTATAATCCCAGCTACGTGAAAGGCTGAGGTCGGAGGAACACCTAAAGCCCGGAGTCAGGACTTTGAGACTAGCCTGGGCAACATAGTGAGATCTCATCTCAAAAATATATATAATAAAAAATATATAATAACACTTTTTAAAAAGAAAGTGGGGCCAGGGGTGCTAGCTCATGCCTATAATCCCAGCACTTTGGGAGGCCGAGGCAGGCGGATCACTTGAGGTCAGGAGTTCGAGACCAGCCTGACCGACATGGTGAAACCCCATCTCTACCAAAAATACAAAATTAGCTGGGTGTGGTGGCACATGCCTGTAATCCCAGCTACTTGGGAGGCTAAGGCAGAAGAATCACTTGAACGCAGGAGGCGGAGGTTGCAGTGAGCCGAGATCGCACCATTGCACTCCAGCCTGGGCAACAAGAGCAAAATTCTGTCTCAAAAAAAAAAAAAAAAAAAAGTGGGAGAAACAACCCAAAAATTTTCCAACAGGACAGTGGTATAAAAGCACACGTTTAGGGTACAGGAGTCTGGGGGACTCAGGTTGGATGGCTTTTATGTCCTTGGGAAAGAGGAGGTGAGATTTCAAAGTGAAACAGCTTCCATGGTGACAGGATCTGAGATGTAGGTCATGGAGAGTCAAGGTGATGATTGGAGTGGACAAGGTGAAATAACTGTGAAGTTGCACACTTAGGGTATTGAAAAGGCATTTGCGAGATGGGTACAAGAAGTTTCATAGCAGATTGAGCCATAATAAGAAAAACAAAAAATAGAAACAACCCAATTGTACTTCATCAGGTGAATAGATCAACAAGCTGTGCTACATCATATAAAGGATTACCACTCAGCAAAAAAAAGGAATGAAACACTGATACATACAACAGCGTGGGCGAATCTCACAGACATTAAGCAGAATGAAAGGAGCCAGATACAAGAGTATGTACTATATGACTCCATTAATATGATGTTCAAGAACAGACTAATCTATAGAGGCCGAGCGCAGTGGCTCAGGCCTGTAATCCCAACACTTAGAGAGGTCAAGGCAGGAGGATCACTTGAGCCCAGGAGTTAGAATCCAGTCTGGGCAACATAGAAGGACCTCGTCTCTACAAAAAAAAATTTTTTTTTTTTTTTTGAGACAGAGTCTTGCTCTGTCACCCGGGCTGGAGTGCAATGACGCGATCTCGGCTCACTGCAACCTCTGCCTCCCAGGTTCAAGCAATTCTCCTGCCTCAGCCTCCCGAGTAGCTGGGACTATAGGCATGTGCCACCACGCCCGGCTAATTTTTTTTTTTTTTTTTGTATTTTTAGTAGAGATGGGGTTTCACTGTGTTAGCCAGCATGGTCTTGAGCTCCTGACCTTGTGATCCCCCTGCCTCGGCCTCCCAAAGTGCTAGGATTATAGGCCTAAACCACTGCACCCAGCCTACAAAAAAACTGTTAAAAAATTAGCTGGGTGCGGTGGCATATGCCTGTAGTCGTAGCTACTCAGGAGACTGAGGTGGGAGGATGGCTTGAGCCCAGGAGGTCAAGGCAGCAGTGAACTATAATTGCACTACTGCATTCCAACCTGGGTAACAGAGCAAGACTCTGTCCCAAGAAAAAAGTCTACAGAGGTTAAAAATGGTAAAATGGTTGCATCTAGGAGGGGAAAGGGATTTACCAAAAAGGGGCATGGAGGAATTTTCCAGGATAATGAGAATTATCTATATCTCTATTACAGTGTGGTTGCATGGGTGTACATATTGGCCAAAGGTCATCAAACTGTACATTAAGATCTGTGCATTTTACTGTATGAAATTATATATCAATGTTTAAAAATGTCATTTATGGCTGGGCACGGTGGCTCACGCCTGTAATCCCAGCACTTTGGGAGGCCGAGGCAGGTGGATCACGAGGTCAGGAGATTGAGACCATCCTGGCTAACATGGTGAAACCCTGTCTCTACTAAAAAATACAAAAAAATTAGCCAGGTATGGTGGCTGGTGCCTGTAGTCCCAGCTACTAGGGAGGCTGAGGCAGGAGAATGGCGTGAACCCAGGAGGTGGAGCTTGCAGGGAGCCGAGATCACGCCACTGCACTCCAGCCTGGGTGACAGAGCAAGACTCTCTCTCAAAAAAAAAAAAAAAAAAAGTCATTCATATGGACATTAAGTCCATTAAGGAGTTGGCAGAGGTTGAAATAGAGAGGAAGTGGGCTGGGCATGGTGGCTCACGCCTATAATCCCAGCACTTTGGGAGGCCGAGGTGGGCGGATCACAAGGTCTGGAGTTCGAGACCAGCCTGGCTAACATGGTGAAACCTTTTCTCTACTAAAAATACAAAAATTAGCCTGGCATGGTGGCAGGTGCCTGTAATCCCAGCTACTCTGGAGGCTGGGGCAGGAGAATCGCTTGAACCTGGGAGGCAGAGGTTGCGGTGAACCAAGATCACGCCATTGCACTCCAGCAACAACAGCAAAACTCTGTCTCAAAAAAAAAAAAAAGAAAAAAGAAAGAAAAAATAAATAGAGAAGAGGCTGCAGAGTCAGGGATGGGCTCTTGATGAATGTGAGGGCGAGTGGACGACACCAAGGAGAGATTGAAGGTCGTGAGGTCAGATGCTATGAGCCTCAGAGGAGAAGCTGTTCTCAGAAGCTGAAAGTATCATCACCTGGGAGCCATTCATTAGTTGAAAAATATTGATAAGACTTGGCCAGAGAAGTCACCCAATCTCACCCCTGCCAGCACGTAGAGGAACCCTGGTGGGGGTGGGGGAGAGATGAGATCACCTGTGCTGGATTGTGGACTTTTGTGTTTTCACCTGTTTTCATGGTCTGAGTTGGGAGTTTATTGGCCTCAACTACATCCAGCCAGCCCACAGCTTGTTGTTAAAGAAGTCAGACCAGAGACTGGGTGCGGCGGCTCACGCCTGTAATCCTAGCACTTTGGGAGGCTGAAGCAGGTGGATCACTTGAGGTCAGGAGTTCAAAACCAGCCTGGCCAACATGGTGAAACCCTGTCTCTAGTAAAAATACAAAAAAGTTAGCCAGGCATGGTGACAGGCGCTGTAGTCCCAGCTACTTGGGAGGCTGAGGCAGGAGAATCGCTTGAACCCGGGAGGCAGAGGTTGCAGTGAGCGGAAATCACACCACTGCACTCCAGCCTGGGCGACAGAGCGAGACTCCCTCTCAAAAAAAAAAAACAAAAAAAACACACACAAAAACAGAGACCAGTGCACATCCACTTCAACACTGTTTTATTTGTTGCCTTTCCTCTTGAGTGCCTGGGAATAATTTCTTTAGAAAAGTTCCATCCTTGGCCAGGATGGATGCAGTGGCTCACGCCTGTAATCCCAGCACTTTGGGAGGCCGACGTGGGTGGATCACGAGGTCAGGAGTTCAAGACCAGCCTGGCCAAGATAGTGAAACCCCGTCTCTACTAAAAATATGAAAATTAGCTGGGCATGGTAGTGGGTGCCTGTAATCCTGGCTACTCAGGAGGCTGAGGCAGGAGAATCTCTTGAACCCGGGAGGCGGAGGTTGCAGTGAGCCGAGATCGCACCACTGCACTCTAGCCTGGGTAACAGAACAAGACTCTGTCTCAAGAAAAAAAAAAGAAAAAAAAAGTTCCATTCTTGTGCCCACTGTGCTGATTAGCGCAGCAGTTCCTGTCTTGCAGGTTAGCCTTCCCTAGAGGTTCTCAGAGTTATTAAAAGGGGTCCCTTGAATGTACACACATATCAGGATTTATTCTAGATGGACTGAAAAAAAAAACCCACATACTGTCTTTGGAATCTGGAACATTTTTAGCTATGACAAATGTTTAGAAGTCTTAGATATAGAAAAGAGCTGGGAGAGCAGGATGCCCTTGAGTCCAGGTGTAGCAATGGCACTGCCACCCTTGCACAGGACGGGGGAAGCACTGGAGAAGAACCACACATTGAACACCTAGGGCAATGGGGTCTGGAAGTTTACAGGTGGTACCCCCAGTTTACAGTAGTGGCACCAGGACTCCAACCTAGGCTGATTTGTCTTCTAAGCCACATTGCCTTGGGACGTGGAGTAGAACCATGTGATTGAGTGTACACTGTGGAAGAGTGGAGTTTGTTTTTTTTTTTTTTTGAGACGGAGTTTTGCTCGTTGCCCAGGCTGGAGTGCAGTGGCACAATGTTGGCTCACTGCAACCTCCGCCTCCTGGATTCAAGTGATTCTCGTGCCTCAGCCACCCAAGTAGCTGGGATTACAGGCACGCACCACCACGTCTGGCTAAGTTTTGTATTTTTAGTAGAGATGGGGATTCACCATGTTGGCCAGACTGGTCTCGAACTCCCGACCTCAGGTGATCTGCCCACCTCGGCCACCCAAAGTGCTGGGATTACAGGCGTGGGCCACTGCTCCCGGCCGGAAGAGTGGAGTTTTATCCCCAGCCAGTTACTTATTCCACGTCCCCACTGGTGGTGACCTCTTCTCCCTCCCCAAACCGTGGGCTTCTTACAGCTGAGATAGTAGAGACAATTTTTCCTATATTGATCCTTTGGGGTGTGAATGGGGTGTTGATAGAAGGAGGCAAGCAAGGTAGGGGATCGGGCAGAAGCTGGAATCAAGGCCCAGTTGAGAAAAGCCACCATTGGTAGCTCGGGCCTCCCATGCTCTCTGACCACCAGGGGGCAGGCCTTGCCTTGCCATGACGCCTCCATCCCACATCCTCTAGTTAGATATCCCTGGGGTGGCAGCCACTTCGCTGCTGGAGAATGGCTGAGTTGGTCCTTCCCAGGTTGTGTGGCATGTGTGGTTGTTCCGGTAGCTTAGGGAGGTAAAATAATTTGTTCAAGGTTAGACTGGGCACAGTGGCTCACACCTGTAATCCCAGCACTTTGGGAGGCCGAAGTGGGAGGATTGCTTTAGGCCAGGAGTTTTAGATCAGCCTGGGCAACACGGTGAGACTCTGTCTGTACAAAAAATAAAAATAAGTGAGCCAAACGTGATGATGTGTGTCTGTAGTCCCAAATACTCTGGAGGCTGACGTGGGAGGGTCACTTGAGCTCAGGAGTTCAAAGTTCAAGGCCACGGGGAGCTATGATCATATGATCACACCGCTGCACTCCAGAATGGTTGACAGAGTGAGACCCTGTCTCAAAAAAAAAAAAGGTTGTATAACATAATTGTGGGGATTGCGGGGGAGCTGACATTTGAACCTAGACTCATTCCAAACCAGCATTCTTAACCATGAGATGACTGCTTCTCCAAAAGAAAGCTCTGAATTACTTCAGTGATGGGTGGGAACTGGACAGTCTACAAAAGTACTGTGACACAGAGCTAGAAACACAGATACAAAGGAAAAAACATATATTAGGTCAGGTGTGGTGGCTCACACCTGTAATCCCAGCACTTTGGGAGGCCAAGGCGGGTGGATCACTTAAGGCCAGGTGTTTAAGACCAGCCTGGCCAACATGGCAAAACTCCGTCAGTACTAAAAACACAAAAATTAGCCGAGTGTGGTGGCACACGCCTGTGAACCCAGATACTCGGGAGGCTGAGGCACGTGAATCGCTTGAGCCTGGGAAGCAGAGGTTGCAATGAGCCAAGATTGTGCCACTGCACTCCAGCCTGGGCGACTGAACGAGACTGTCTCACAACAACAACAGCAACAACAACAACATGTATTCATATAAAATGAGCCAGGCTGGGCGCGGTGGCTCACGCCTGTAATCCCAGCACTTTGGGAGGCCAAGGCGGGCGGATCACAAGGTCAGGAGTTTGAGACCAGCCTGGCCAACATGGTGAAACTCAGTCTCTACTAAAAATACAAAAATTAGCTGGGTGTGGTGGCGCACGTCTGTACTCCCAGCTACTCGGGAGGCGGAGGCAGGAGAATCGCTTGAACCCGGGAGGCAGAGGTTGCAGTGAGCTGAGATTGAGCCATTGCACTCCAGCCTGGGCAACAAGAACAAGACTCCATCTCAAAATAAATAAATAAATAAAATAAATAAAAGGAGCCAGACCAGGAGTTTGAGACCTGGACAACATAGCAAGATGCTGTCTTTCAAAAATAAATAAAAGTAAAAAGTCAGGTGTGATGGCACATACCAGTATTCCAAGCTACTTGGGAGGCTGAGGCAGGAGGATTGCTTGAGTCCAGGAGATCGAGGCTGCAGTGAGCAATGATCACACCACTGTATTCCTGCTTGAGTGATAGAGTGAGACCCTTGTCTCTAAAAAATGTAATAGTAAAAGGAGCCAGAAGGGGGCATGCGGTAAGGGGTGGACACATGGCATATTACATGTCATCCTTCACTTCTATGTGCTGTATTATCTCCTGTAGCTGTGTGATACACATACAAGAGTGTCTGGCATACTCTTGTACCAATCCCTGTAGAGGTATTACCTTGTTTTATTGTGTTCCACAGATGTGCATTTTTTTATATATTGAAGTTTGTGGCAACCCTGTGTTGAGCAAGTCTGTAGGTGCCACTTTTCCAATAGCCTGTGCTCACTTTGTGTCTCAGTGGCACATTTTGGTAATTCTTGCAATATTTCAAACTTTTTCTTGATTATTTTATCTGTTATGATCTGTCAGTAGTGATTTTTTTTTTTTTGAGACAGGGTCTCACCCTGTCATTCAGGCTGGAGTGCAGTGGCAAGATCATAGCTCACTGCAGCCTCGAAATCCTGGGCTCAAGTGATTCTCCTGCTTCAGCCTCCCAAGTAGCTAAGACTACTGGAACACACCAGCACACCTGGCTAATTTTATCTATTTATTTATTTAGGCAGAGTTTTGTTCTTGTTGCCCAAGCTGGAGTACAATGGCACGATCCCAGTTCACCACTACCTCCGTCTCCCAGTGATTCTCCTGCCTCCGCCTCCCGAGTAGCTGGGATTACCGGCATGCGCCACCACGTCCGACTAATTTTGTATTTTTAGTAGAGACGGGGTTTCTCCATGTTGGTCAGGTTGGTCTTGAACTAACGACCTCAAGTGATCTGCCCTCCTTGGCCTCCCAAAGTGCTGGGATGACAGGAGTCAGCCACTGTGCCTGGACTTTTTTTTTCTTTTTTGTAGAGCTGAGGTTGGCCAAGCGCAGTGGCTCATGCTTGTAATCCCAGTACTTTGAGAGGTCGAGTGGGCAAATCACTTGAGCCCAGGAGTTTGAGACCAGCCTGGACAACATGGTAAGACCCTGTCTCTACAAAAAATACAAAAATTATCTAGGCATGGTGGTGTGTGGCAGCTACTCAGGAGGCTGAGGTGGGAAGATGGTGTGAGCCCATGAGGTTGAAGCTGCAGTGAGCCGTGATTGTGCCACTGCACTCTAGCCTAGGCAACAGAGTGAGACCTTGTCTCAAAAAGAGAGAGAGAGAGAGAAGGTCTTGCTCTGTTGCCCAGGCTGGAGTGCCATGGAGCCATGGCTTTCACAAGCAAAATCGTAGCATACTGCAGTCTTGAACTTCTGTCCTCAAGTGATCCTTCCACCTCAGCCTTCTGAGTAGCAGAGACATAGGCACATACCACTGCACTTGGCAAGAATTAGCTAAATTTACTCTGCCACGCTGTGTAAATGGAACAATAAAGCCTAGATGGCTGGATGTGGTGGCTCATGCCTATAATCCCAGCACTTTGGGAAGCTGAGGTGGGCGGATCACCTGAGGTCAGGAGTTCAAGACCAGCCTGGCCAAGATGGTCAAACCCTGTCTCTACTAAAAATACAAAAATTAGCCGGGTGTGGTGGCAGTCACCTGTAATCCCAGATACTAGGGAGGCTGAGGCAGGAGAATCACTTGAACCCAGAGGGCGGAGGTTGCAGTGAGCTAAAATTGCACCACTGCACTCCAGCCTGGGTGACAGAGCAAGACTCCATCTCAAAAAAATATATAAATAAATAAATAAATAAATAAAAGCCTAGATGATAGTACATCTGTTTACAACGTGGTTTACTGATTTTAAAATTTTTCTTTTTTTTGTTTGTTTGTTTGTTTTTGAGACACGGTCTCAATATGTTGCCCAGGCTGTAGTACAGCAGCATGATCTCAACTCATTGAAACCTCTGCCTTCCAGAGTCAAATGATCCTCCTACCTCAGCCTCCTGAGTAGTTGGGACCACAGACATGAGCCACTATGCTCAGCTAATTTTTGTATTTTTTGTAGAGATAGGGTTTCGTCAGGTTGTCCAGGCTGATCTCCAACTCTTTTTTTTTTTTTTTTTTTTTTGAGACAAAGTCTTGCTCTGTCACCCAGGCTGGAGTGCAGTGGCGCAATCTCGGCTAACTGCAACCTCTGCCTCCAAGGTTCAAGTGATTCTCCTGCCTCAGCCTCCTGAGTAGCTGGGACTACAGGCAGATGCCACCACACCCAGCTAATTTTTTGTATTTTTAGTAGAGATGGGGTTTCACCGTGTTAGCCAGGATGGTCTCGATCTCCTGAACTCGTGATCCGCCCGCCTCAGCCTCCCAAAGTGCTGGGATTACAGGCATGAGCCACCATGCCTGGCCTGGCCTCCAACTCTTTAACTCAAGTGATCTGCCCTCCTGGGCTTCCCAAAGTACTGGGATTACAGGTGTGACCCACCATACCTAGCCAAAATTATTTTTTTTTAAACTCCATTTACTACTATTCCCAATTTAAATTGTATTTTATTTAGAGACAAGGTCTCCCTCCATTGCTCAGGCTGAAATGCAGTGGCAAAATCATAGCTCACTGCATCCTTGAAACTCCTGGGCTCAAGGAATCCTCCTTCCTCAACTTCCTGAGTAGCTGGTACTATAGGTGTGTGCCACTATGTCCAGCTAAGTTTAAATTTTTTTGTAGAGACAGGGTCTTGCCATGTTGCCCAGGCTGGTCTCAAACCCCTGGCCTCAAGCCGTCCTCTCACCTTGGCCTCCCAAAGTGCTGGGATTACAAGTGTAAGCCACTATGCCCCGCTGGTTTACTGAATATTTTAAGCCTACTGTTGAGGTCTACTGCTCCGAAAAACAAGATTTCTTTAAAATGATTACTGCTCATTGACAATGTACATAGTTATCCAAGAGCTCTGATGGAGATGTCCAAAGAGACGAATGTTGTTTTCTTTTTCTTTTTTTTTTTTTTTGAGACGGAGTTTCGCTCTTGTTGCCCAGGCTGGAGTGCAATGGTGCGATATCAGCTCACTGCAACTTCCGCCTCCTGGGTTCAAGTGATTCTCCTGCCTCAGCCTCCCGAGTAGCTGGGATTACAGGTGCGCCCCACCACACCCGGCTAATTTTGTATTTTTAGTAGAGACGGGGTTTCTCTATGTTGATCAGACTGGTCTCGGACTCCTGACCTCAGGTGATCCTCCCACCTCAGCCTCCCAAAGTGCTGGGATTACAGGCATGAGCCACCACGCCCAGCTGAATGTTGTTTTCCTGCCTGCTAACATAACATCCATCCTGTAGTCCATGGTTTAAGGAGTAATTTAGACTTTCAAGTCTCATTATTTAAGAAATACATTTCGCCAGGCATGGTGACTCATGCACTTTGGGAGGCCTAAGTGGATGGATTGTTTGAGCCCAGGAGTTGGATACCGGCCTGGGCAACACAGGGAGACCCCATCTCTACAAAAAATACAAAAATTAGCCTGGTGTGGTGGTGTGCGCCTGCAGTCCCAGCTACTCAGGAGACTGAAGTGGGAGGATCAACTGAGCCCTGGAGGTTGAGGCTGCAGTGAGCCGTGATGGCGCCACTGAACTCCAGCCTGGGTGAGACAGAGCCAGACCCTGTCTCAAAAAACCAAAACAGGAATCCCAGCACTTTGGGAGGGCGAGGCTGGTGGATCACTTGAGATCAGGAGTTGGAGACCAGCCTGGCCAACATGGTAAAACCCTGTCTCTACAAAAAATACAAAATTTAGCTGGGCTTGGTGATGTGCGCCTGTAATCCCAGCTACTTGGGAGGCTGAGGCAAGAGAATTGCTTGAACCCAGGAGGCAGAGGTTGCAGTGAGCCGAGATTGTGCCACTGCATTCCAGCCTGGGCGACAGAGTGAGACTCCAGCTCAAAAAAAAAACAAAAAACAAAAAAACCCAACCAAACACACACACACACACACACATACACACACACACACACACACACACAAGGTGATTGCTATGCAAATTAAATATAGCTTCACCAATCAGCTTGCTTCTCCTAATCCCTCATAGAAATCTTGGAGTAGCCCTGGGGTGCAGTGAGGCCAGATTCCAGGAAGGGAATGGGTGGGATGGGTCTGGGTACTGGTGAGCAGCAGGGAGGGTAAGTAGGTTAGCTTCTGGGCCAAGGAGGGCTCCTGGAGGCTTGTTCTGGGTAAAAGCTGGTCTCCTTGAACCTCGGAAGGTGGGGGAACCCACATCCTGGTCTCACCCGCCCAACCGCCCACTCACCCTTGGGTTAGCAGCCATCTAAGCCCCACCCTCCCCCTCACACGCTTAGCTAGCCTGCCACAAGCTGGCCCCTTGGCCTCCTAGAGACCCTGACATCTCCTCCAGCAGCATCTGTCCTCTCTCCTCAGGGAGGCAAGCATTTGATGCTCGAGGTCCCTGGCAGTTGTGGTCCTTGGCAAGTGATGTGTGAGTCCCGTGTGTCATAGGAAGCTCCCCATCCCCATCTGGTGACCAAAGGCCTGGCTACAAGTAGTGAGTCCTTCCTCCTCCACCCAGACCTCACTGCTCAGATCCCCTTCGCCAACTGGGACATCTTCCGACATGGCCTGGATGCTGTTGCTCATCTTGATCATGGTCCATCCAGGTGACAGGGCGTGCGCTCAGGACCCCAAGGAGTGTGGGTGGGAGGAGGGAGATCCAGGAGGCTGGACTAGATGCTATAGGGAACGGGCTTGGTGGGGGCTGAAACACACGGCTCTGAGGGAGGAGTGGGACTGCTCCAAAGGTGACACTCAGTGGACTCCCCCAATTCACAGTCTCTCTGTGTCACCCACTGTGAGGCTTTTTAGTTTGAGAGATCCAAGTAAATCTATGATAAATTTCTTGGTGAAACTTTTTTTTTTTTTTTTTTGAGACTGAGTCTCGCTCTGTCGCCTGGCTGGAGTGCCGTGGTGCGATTTTGGCTCACTGCAACCTCTGCCTCCCATGTTCAGGTGATTCTCCTGCCTCAGCCTCCTGAGTAGCTGGGACTACACGCACGCACGACCACACCTGGCTAATTTTTTTTTTTTTTGAGACGGAGTCTTGCTCTGTCACCTAGGCTGGAGTGCAGTGGCATGATCTTGGCTCACTGCAACCTCTGCCTCCTAGATTCAAGCAATTCTCCTGCCTCAGCCTCCTGTAGCTGGGATTACAAGCGCGCACCACCACACCCAACTAATTTTTGTATTTTTAGTAGAGACAGGGTTTTACCATGTTGGCCGGGCTGGTCTTGAACTCCTGACCTCAGGTGATCTGCCTGCCTCGGCCTCCTAAAGTGCGGGGATTACAGGCCTGAGCCACTGCGCCCAGCCATTTTTGTATTTTTAGTAGAGATGGGGTTTTGCTATGTTGGCCAGGTTGGTCTCAAACTCCTGATCTCAAGTGATCTGCCTGCCTCGGTCTCCCAAATTACTGGAATTATAGGCATGAGCCACTGCGCCCGCCTGGTGGTGAAACTTTTTTTTTGAGACAGTTTCATTCTGTTGTCCAGTCTAGAGTACAGTGGCGGTATCTCAGCTCACTGCAGCCTCCACCTCCTGGGTAAAAATGATTCTCCTGTCTCAGCCTCCCAAGTAGCTAGGATTACAGGTGCATGCCATTACTGCTGGCTAACTTGTGTATTTTTAGTAGAGACGAGGTTTCACCATGTTGGCCAGGCTGGTCTCAAACTCCTGACCTCAGGTGATCCACTCGCCTTGGCCTCCCAAAGTGTTGGGATTATAGGCGTGAGCCACTGCACCCGGCCGAAACTGTTTTTAATGAACTGAGAGACCTTAACTATCAGGCATATTATTAACTAAATGCAGGAGTTCTCAAAATGTGGATTTCTGGGAACCTAGAACAAATTCTTAGGCCCCACTCCAGACCTACTGAGTCAAAAACTCGGGGGGTAGGCCCAGGAATCTGTTCTAGCAGATGCTCCAGGTAATTTCCATACACACTCAAGTTTGAGAACCACTGAAATAGAATGACTTGTAAATTTCCCTAAGTAGATAATTTAATCAGGGATTTTAATATTTGGTTTAATTCATCAACATGGACGGGTTAAATAGGAATCTCAACCAATTAAGGCCACGTCTTCACCTGGAGATTTAATTAGTTACTTTCTTTAACGAAAACCAAGAGTGGCTGGGTGCACTTTGGGAGGCCGAGGCAGGTGGATCACTTGAGATCAGGAGTTTGAGACCAGCCTGGTCCGAGGTGGGTGGATCACTTGAGGTCAGGAGTTTGAGACCAGATGGTGAAACCCTGTCTCGACTGAAAATACAAAAATTAGCCAGTCGTGGTGGTGGGTGCCTGTAGTCCCAGCTACTTGGGAGGCTGAGGCACCAGGATCGCTTGAACCCAGGGGACGGAGTTTGCAGTGAGCCAAGATTGCACCACTGCATTCCAGCCTGGGCAACAGAGCAAGACCCCATCTCAAAAAAAGAAAAAAGAAAAAGAGGAAGGATGGCTTACTGTACAATGCCATTTGTACTAAAATAATACCTGGATAATATAATGAGTGATATTAGTTAACTAGGCAGCTGCATTCATTAATGAGCTTAATTTCACCATGATGGTTTACATTTCAGCTAGACAAGTTACTACTGAACTGGCTGGAGAATGATGGCAGAGGGTGAGAGTGAGAGTTGGTATAGGAAGAATTTGAAAAATGATTTTTATTTTTTATTTTTTGAGATGGAGTCTTGCTTTGTCGCCCAGGCTGGAGTGCAATGGCGCAATCTTGGCTCACTGCAACCTCTGCCTCCCGGGTTCAAGCGATTCTCCTGCCTCAGCCTCCCGAGTAGCTGGGATTACAGGTGCACACCACCATGCCCGGCTAATTTTTGTATTTTTTTAGTAGAGACGGGGTTTCACCATGTTGGCCAGGATGGTCTCGATCTCCTGACCTGGTGATCCGCCCACCTCGGCCTCCCAAAGTGCTGGGATTACAGGCGTGAGCCACTGCACCCAGCCGAAAAATGATTTAATAAGCAATGTTAAGAAATCAGATTGGTTAAGAGGGAAGGGTTTAATGAGGCACCCAAAGTATCTATTCCCATGCACCCTATGCCTGGAGAAAGCTGGGATGTTCTACTCCAAGCTCTGTTGTCTTTTCTCTTTGGAATAACTGGGGAGGTGTTTCTCTGGGTCTTCCTTCTGCCCCCAGGATCCTGTGCTCTCTGGGTGTCCCAGCCCCCTGAGATTCGTACCCTGGAAGGATCCTCTGCCTTCCTGCCCTGCTCCTTCAATGCCAGCCAAGGGAGACTGGCCATTGGCTCCGTCACGTGGTTCCGAGATGAGGTGGTTCCAGGGAAGGAGGTGAGGAATGGAACCCCAGAGTTCAGGGGCCGCCTGGCCCCACTTGCTTCTTCCCGTTTCCTCCATGACCACCAGGCTGAGCTGCACATCCGGGACGTGCGAGGCCATGACGCCAGCATCTACGTGTGCAGAGTGGAGGTGCTGGGCCTTGGTGTCGGGACAGGGAATGGGACTCGGCTGGTGGTGGAGAAAGGTGAGATGCTGGGAGGTGGTGTCTCCTCCTGGCTGGAGGCCCCAAGAGGCAATGTCCTTGGGAGGCAGGGATGCTCCTCTGAGGCCCCTTCCCTCCCTGAGCCTGTGTGCACTTCTTCCCCAACCCCCGTCTCCATTGCCCCATGCAGAACATCCTCAGCTAGGGGCTGGTACAGTCCTCCTCCTTCGGGCTGGATTCTATGCTGTCAGCTTTCTCTCTGTGGCCGTGGGCAGCACCGTCTATTACCAGGGCAAATGTGAGTAATGGAGCCAGGGGCAATAGTGGACGGGATGGGAGGGGCAGTAAGAGAGTGGGAGGAGGGAGGACAGAGACCAGGAAGAGGAGAGCCTCGGGACTGCAACACTGAGCAGCTCCTGTCCTCTCTCTGACCAGGCCACTGTCACATGGGAACACACTGCCACTCCTCAGATGGGCCCCGAGGAGTGATTCCAGAGCCCAGATGTCCCTAGTCCTCTTCAAAAGACCCCAATAAATCTGCCCCACCACTAACTCCTCATGAGTCTCAAGTGTTTTCTTCTCCATTCTCCAGATGCCAAATCTACTCTCTCCGGATTCCCCCAACTCTGAACTTTCCCTTCCACCAGGTCTGACCTGGAAAGGTCCAAGAAGGCAGCTGCCGGCTGTGGTCCCAGCGCCCCTCCCACCACCATGTGGGAGCTCAGCACATCTGCTTCCCCCAGTCCCAGGAGGCTGAGCCTGATTGTCCTGAGAAATGGGAAGGATCAGATATGACTCCTCCTTGGCAACTGCCCTTTCCTGCCAGGCCCACACATACCCTCTTCTGGCTGTTAGGGGAGCTTGGGTCCCTGAACACTGTCATTCACCCAATAAATTACTATTTGACCCCAGAGTGGGTGGAAGGGTGAGCCATGTGTTTTTTTTATTTTAATTTTTAAAAAATTTAAAAAATTCCCTATTCAAAGGTCAAAAAGCCACATAAGTTTTGATGATGATCAATTTGAACGGAGGCTCGAGATGGACTGAGAGGACTGAGACACAGAAGTGGGGGGACCATGGTTTTTACTGGCTGGACCACAGGGGGACCCTGTCCACCCGCCTGGGTTGAGGAAGGTGTCTGGGGTGCTCAGGTGGGTTTGTTCTCAGCAATGCAGGCATAGTCAGCTCTTGGATCCTCCTTGGTGCCTCTCTTGTCTCTGCCCCTGAGGTCAGGTCCCTCACTGCTGGGCACTGGCAGCCTCTGCAGAGATGCATAGTGGAGTTCCTGCTCTGAGGAGCCCTGGGCCTGGGACCAGGACAGAAGGTGCTGATGGGAGGCGATGCCGTCAGATCCTTCCCTGTGAGTTCTGCTCCCACCTCCAGCCTTTCTTACTTCTCTCCCTCTCTCTCTCTCTCTCTCCCTCTCTCTCTCTCTCTCTCTCTCTCTCTCTTTTTTCTTTGGAGACAGAGTCCCACTATGTTGTCCAGGATTGTCTTCAACCCCTGAGCTCAAGCTATCTTCCTGCCTCAGCCTTGCGATAGCTGGAATGACAGACGTGAGCCACTGTGCCTGGTTCTGGAGCCTCTCTCTCTCTCTCTCTTTCATTGCTCTTCTCTTTGTGTCTCTCTCACTCTCATTTTCTCCCTGTCTCTCCTATCCTCTGTCTCACTTTTTCTCTTGGTTTCTGTCTCATTTTCTCTTTCTCTTTTGCCTCGATTTTCTCTGCCTCTCTCATGCTCCTACTTTCTCTCTCCTTGTCTCCCGTCCCCAACCCTCCTCTCAGCGCTCAGCCATGCTTCTCCCCACTCACCCACTCAGGATCTCTCTTGCCCTCCCCCTTCCCTGTCCCCAGACTCACCCAGCTCCTCTCCAGCCTCTTTACTGGAAGAAAAGAAGAAGCTCAACACAGCCCACCCTTTGTGCTTCTCCCGGGCCCTCCCGGGCTCCCCCCACCAGCAGGCGTGGACTCCCCTGTTGGCTTCCCAGTGGCTCCAGGGCCAGGCAGTGTTCTGGGAAAGCAGTGGGAAAGCGTGTGGGGGTGGGGGCACAGGGGGCACTGCTGCAGGGGGAGGGAGGGAGTGCAGCGCTCACCTCTTCGATGCAGCCAACACAGGCAGGCGGACAGAAGGACCACTGCCAGAAGCAGGAGCCCGCCCAGCCCCAGGCCCCCGTAGATACATATATCTTCAGGGAAGAGGGCTCAAGGTTATGAAGCCCATTCCTTCTCCAGCGTACCCCAGCCTCCTGGTTGGTTGCAGCTTTCTCAGATTCCCTCTCCAACAGTTTTAGAGGCAGAAAAATATACCCTCAGAGCTTCTCCATCCCAGACCTTAATACCTCACCTCTTACCAGGTTTCTGGGCCTCCCGTGAGGTCCCTTTCCCTCCTGTACCAGCTGTCCCCAGAGGCCTGTCCACCTAGTCATGAGCTGCATACATCACTGTTCCCCATCACTTCCTAAGCTCCCAGGACCCTCTCTATGCAGATGCAAGAGACACTTTACTTACCATCATTCCGCGATAACATTAGGTCAGGGATCAGGGACTGGCCTGGAGGTCAGGAACTCTAGTCCTTGCTCTTTTAGGCGAAATGATCAGGGGCTGGTGACTTGCCTCAAGTTCCTCATCTGTGAAGTGAGGGGCCCTCTGTTATAATCGTTCCCAGGCTGGGGAGCCTCCCTTATGTGCCAACCCTGAGCTGGGCACTTTCCATTCCTCACTGCTAATCCCCAGAACATAGGGTATCATGGTGCCCGTTGCCCAAGTAAAGACCCGAGATTCAAGCCTGGACTTTACTAGGTCACCCATCCCAGAAAGGTGGAGCTGGGGTTTAAGGCCAGCTCTGCCCAACTCCAGAGCCCAGCCCTTTCCTCTGCCCTGGGCTGACCACGTGGTTTGGAGGGGACTTTTCAGCCCTGGATGGTTCTAGGTGCTGGTAAGGGGATGATGGAGGGGAAGGAGCCTGGGCCTGGGTGGGTGTGGGCACTGGGGGGAAGAAGGGAGGGTGATATCAGCACACCCAGCAGGTGGGCTGCTCCCTGAGCCGCAGAGCAGCGCGGGAGTGTGGGGGCCCCCTTGGCTGGTGTGGAGAGCTGCTTCCCACAGGCAGATGCTGCTAGGGCTGAAGTGGGGCATGGAGGAGTATCTGGGGCCCCATAACTTCCCCTCAGGCACTTCCTCCCCTCCAACCACTGGTTCCTGTTTGAGGGTGAAGAGGGGGCCGTTCTCTTCACCCCAGAGCCAGATATACTGACTAGGGTCTGGAAACTGGGACCCTTCTGGGTTTAAGAGGAATTCTGGGGGGTGGGGAGCAGAAGTGCAGGTGGAGGCCATAAGGGCCGTGGGCACAGAAATGAATTGTCTTTAATTTCTTTGGGGAGCAGAGACTCAGAGGATTCCTCGACGGCCCAGGGAAACTCAAACCCATACTCTCCCTCCCCTCATCTTAGCTTCACCCCACTCTGGGGTGTGACCATCCTTCCACCAAGGTCCCTGCCCATTCCCAGCTTACCCAGAGCTTGTGGCCTGCAGGATGGACAGACTCCAAACTGGCCAGTGCTGTCTGGCTGAAGAGAAGTGTTGCCACCTCAGACATTCCTGCCCCTCCTCTGGCTTTAACTTCTCCCCCAGCCTGGGTTCCTCCCCAGCATTGTTAGGAGAGGAAGTTCGGCTCCAGGGTTAGGGTTACAACATCTTTCTTTTCAAACTTCTGGGCCTGTAGCTAGGGCCATAATCTGCCTCAGCTCCAGTCATTTCACTGATCCTGCCACTAGTCAGCAAACACCCACCACCTTCAGGTGTCTTCCTTGATTAACTCTTCTCTATTACCTCTTACACTGCATCTGTTGAGACCTCTTGATCTTGGCATATGTCTGTGGACACATGTACCCTGCTCCAGTTCAGACTGGGAGCTCTGGCATATTTGGTGTTCTGGTGACCCACTTGGTGTTCTGCAGCTCTATGCAGCAGGCTGCTTGGCTGTCTGATTAACAAACATGAGAGTTAAAGGCAGCCATACTAGATCTACATGAGCCCTGTGGATAGATCAAGGACAGAAAGTTGGTGACAAGTTGGTGACAGGAAAGGAGGTGTGGGCAATACAGGTGGACTTCCTGTAGGAGGCAGCATTCTGGCATTGAACACAGAACTAAGTAAAGGCAGCGGCCTGAGGCTCTCTGGAGAGACCTGGGTGAAGGCTTCTTAGTGGCACTGTGATGGAGAAGGAGATGGGTGCTGGAGGATTGCACACCCACTCCTTGAGGAGGGTGAAGACTGGGGAGCGCCTGTAAGGCAAGGGGTGAGGAGGAGATGTGGTGCCTGGGTGGGTCCATATTAATTTGCGTTTCCCCTTCCAAATTCAAGAACCTTCTACTTCCTCCCCCACCCTTCTCCCCATCCTCCATGTTCCCTATGCTGAATAATATTCAGGGTTTTTTGTTTGTTTGTTTTGTTTTTTTTACATTTTATTATTAAAAAGTGCAAACATAGGGTGAAATGAGAATAATTGTACAGTGAACATATTCTTACCACCTAGATGCTACTATTAACATTTTTTGTTTTGTTTTGTTTTTGAGATGGGGTCTCACTCTGTCACTCAGCCTGAAGTGCAGTGGTGAAATCATAGCTCACTGCAGCCTTGAATTCCTGGGCTCAGAGGTCCTCCCACCTTAGCCTTCTGAGTAGCTAGGACTACAGACACCAGCTACCACATGAGGCTTTGTAGAAATGGGGTCTTACTATGTTGCCCAGGCTGATTTTGAACTCCTGGTCTCAAGCAATCTTTCCACCTTAGCCTTCCAAAGTGCTGGAATTACAGGAGTGGGCCACTGCACCTGGCTCTATTAACATTTTTTATTTGCTTTATCACATATTTATCAATCCATCTCACTTTTAAATATCTTTTAAAATTACAAATATCAGTACATTTTACATCTAAACCCTTCAGAAGCTTAACATTGACTGGAGTTCAGTATTTATTTCCCCATTTCTTTTCTGGCCTGAGGAAGGCAAATTTTACATACAAATCTCAAGTCAGTACTCTTTTTTTTTTTTGAGACGGAGTCTTGCTCTGTTGCCCAGGCTGGAGTCCAGTGGTGTGATCTTGGCTCACTGCAACCTCTGCCTTCTGGGTACAAGCGATTCTCCTGTCTCAGCCTCCCAAGTAGCTGGGACTACAGGTTTGTGCCACCATATCCAGCTAATTTTTGTATTTTTAATGGAGAAGGGGTTTCACCATGTTGGCCAGGCTGGTCTCAAACTCTTGACCTCAAGTGATCCACCTGCCTTGGTCTCCTAAAGTGCTGGGATTATAGGTGTGAGCCATCTCGCCTGGCCTAATACTGTTTTGTTTGTTTGTTTTTGTTTTTAAGACAGAGTCTTGTTCTTGTCACCCAGGCTGGAGTGCAATGGCATGATTTCGGCTCACTGCAACTTCCGCCTCCTGGGTTCAAGTGATTCTCCTGCCTCAGCCTCCCAAGTAGCTGGAATTAAAGGTGCCTACCACCACGCCCCGCTAATTTTTATATTTTTAGTAGAGATGGGGTTTCACCATGTTGATCAGGCTGCTCTCGAGCTCCTTACCTCAGATGATCCACCTTCCTTGGCCTCCCAAAGTGCTGGTATTATAGGCAAGAGCCACTGCGCCCAGCCCCAGTATTCAGTTTTTAAACTGTCTTGTTATCAAGGCTCTGGAGCCAGATGCCTGGGTTCAAATTCTGGTTCTGCCACTGACTCTGTGAGCTCCATAAGTTTCTTAACCTCTCTGTACCTCAGTTTCCTCTTAGGGTTTTTGTCAGGATTATAATTATTGGCTGGGCATGATGGCTCATGCTTGTAATCCCAGCACTTTAGGAGGCCAACACGGGCAGATCACGTGAGTCCAGGAGTTTGAGCCCAGCCTGGGCAATGTGGCAAAAATCCATCTCTACAAAAAATGCAAAAATTAGCTGGGCATGGTGGCATGTGCCTATAGTCCCAGCTATTCAGGAGGCTGAGGTAGGTGAATCCATAGATCCTGGGAGGTCAAGGCTGCAGTGAGCCATGATCCTGCCATTGCATTCCAGTCTGGGTGACATAGCGAGACCCTGTCTCAAAAAAAAAAATTATTAAAGTGTGTAAATCAGTGGCATAAACATGTTAAGTGCATTTTGTGGGTCAGCTATATTATTATTAGTATTACGGAAACACATAGAGATGTTACCAAGAAGGGGAGATGATTGGAGCCACTTCCAGCTTCCTTGGACCTGGTCTTTCTTCCCTTGACTCTTTTTTTTTTTTTTTTTTTTTTTTTTTGAGAGAGAGTCTCAGCCTGTTGCCCAGGCTGGAGTGCAATGGTGCAATCTTGGCTCACTGCAACCTCTGCCTCCCAGGTTTAAGTGATTCTCCTGCCTCAGCCTCCTGTGTAGCTGGAATTACAGGCGCGTGCCACCACGCCCGGCTAACTTTTTGTATCTTTAGTAGAGACAGGGTTTCACCATGTTGGCCAGGCTGGTCTCGAACTCCTGACCTCAAGTGATCCACCTGCCTCAGCCTCCCAAAGTGTTGGGATTACAGGTGTAAGCCACTACCCCGGCTACTCCCTTGACTCTTAACCACTCATGCTGCCTACATCTACCATTCATGTGGTCCTTGCTGCTTTGTTTTGGTTATTCCTGCATTTATTTGTCCTTTTATTCATTTATGTATAAACATTTAGTAAGCACCTACTAATGGATAGGGCTCATTGTAGACTTGGAAGCTCTCTGAGGGTGGGAGTATGCCTCGTCCATCTGTCTTTACTTTTTGTAGCAAGGGAGGTAAAGCTCCATTTCCATCCCTCCTTAGTGAGTCAGTAGTCAGTGGTGAGGCTAAGGCTTACCTCTCCCTTTCTCACTCAGCACAGGGGGCTGGAGATGAGCAAGGGAACGGGAGGAGGTCAGCCCAGTATGGGAATCAGTTCTTCTCAGGGAACCCAGACATCCATCCCTCAAGATTCCAGTCCTTGTCCTAGTCCGGCCCTTGACCTCAGAGACGGGATCAGCTCTTCCTCCAGCACCTACCTTGAGGGTATAGAAGAATGCAAACCACATTGGAAACCTGGAGATCTGTGTTCTCATTTCAGCTCTGCTGACTGGCTTCCTGCAAGCTACCTTCCCTCCCTGGGCCTCAGTTTCTCTCTCTGCTGAGCCAGAAGATGTCTAAAGACCCCTTTGGTTCCACCCTGAGAGCCTGTCTCCCTAACCTCAACTTCTTCCCCAGTTCAGAGAACCCAGGCATCCAGCTGCCCCACCCCAGCTCTGGGTAAACAGGAAGCTGGGTGAGGGGAGCAGGGGTGTGCGGAAAGTCCCAGCCAGGTGTGCAGGTCTACAGGGAGGGGGTGGGCCCGTCCCTGAGGTATGAAAGCCCCCTGCTCTGGCTCTGGTTCAGTCTCAATGGGGGCACTGGGGCTGGAGGGCAGGGGTGGGAGGCTCCAGGGGAGGGGTTCCCTCCTGCTAGCTGTGGCAGGAGCCACTTCTCTGGTGACCTTGTTGCTGGCGGTGCCTATCACTGTCCTGGCTGTGCTGGCCTTAGTGCCCCAGGATCAGGGAGGACTGGTGAGTGGCTGCAACAGGCCCTGGTGGAGAGTTGTATCTTGCGGATGCTTGGCTCCCTCTGGTTGTGCCTGTGGTCTTTTGCCCCCTCTGGCTCAGCTGGCTCGGCTGTCCCTGGTGGGGATGTCTTGTCTCTTTGCTGACTCTCTTTCCATGTTCCTGTGATGTTGTGCTTGTGTCCCGACATAAGCCCCTTGTGTCTCCTCTCCTCTTCCCGAGGTACATCTGTTTCTCCGCCCAAGTACCTATGCCTTGCTTGTTCTCCCTTCTAAGGAGGTGTGTGTTGGGGATGGTGCTGGTAGGAGAAACCCCAGGCCTGCAGCTTGGGTCCACTTTCAGAGGGGTAGGGGTGACATGAGCTGAATCTGAACTCTGGGCACTGTGACCCCACCCAACCAGGTAACGGAGACGGCCGACCCCGGGGCACAGGCCCAGCAAGGACTGGGTAAGAGCAGACTGTCTCTCCTTCCCCGCTTCAGACCCTCAGGGGCTCCCAGCTCCCTGCTGCGTCCCCAGATACCTCTTCCTCTAGGAATCCAGGCTCCCCATCCCTGCGCCCTGTTCTCTCAAGGGTAGCCTGCATGGGTGGCTGCCCTGCCCCCAATCGTGGACTCTTTGCCCCTTCCAGGGTTTCAGAAGCTGCCAGAGGAGGAGCCAGAAACAGATCTCAGCCCCGGGCTCCCAGCTGCCCACCTCATAGGTAAGGACCTCCAAGACCTGAATAAGAGTGTAAATAATCCGAAGGTTCCAGTTCTGCTCGCCCAGAGTCCTTCGGCTCCATGATTCCAGTGCTCGGTTTCCCACCCGCTTCACGACCTTTTGTCGCTCGTGCCCACTCTTACGCTCGTCCCCGCAGTGTAGTTTCTTCTTCCCTCCGGTGCAAGCAAAAGCCGGCCTGGAGGTCCCCACTACAGCGTTCTGCACCCCACATCCGTGTTCCCTCGGCCCCCAACTCGCACTCATCCCAGAAACAGCACCATCCCTCCTCCCCCGGCCCGGCTCGGCTCCCGCAGGGGCTAAAAGCCGCCACTTCCCCAGAAGTCCCAAGCCTTTAGGATCGCATTCCCAAGAGCGCGTCGGCCCGTGTCTCCGCAGGCGCTCCGCTGAAGGGGCAGGGGCTAGGCTGGGAGACGACGAAGGAACAGGCGTTTCTGACGAGCGGGACGCAGTTCTCGGACGCCGAGGGGCTGGCGCTCCCGCAGGACGGCCTCTATTACCTCTACTGTCTCGTCGGCTACCGGGGCCGGGCGCCCCCTGGCGGCGGGGACCCCCAGGGCCGCTCGGTCACGCTGCGCAGCTCTCTGTACCGGGCGGGGGGCGCCTACGGGCCGGGCACTCCCGAGCTGCTGCTCGAGGGCGCCGAGACGGTGACTCCAGTGCTGGACCCGGCCAGGAGACAAGGGTACGGGCCTCTCTGGTACACGAGCGTGGGGTTCGGCGGCCTGGTGCAGCTCCGGAGGGGCGAGAGGGTGTACGTCAACATCAGTCACCCCGATATGGTGGACTTCGCGAGAGGGAAGACCTTCTTTGGGGCCGTGATGGTGGGGTGAGGGAATATGAGTGCGTGGTGCGAGTGCGTGAATATTGGGGGCCCGGACGCCCAGGACCCCATGGCAGTGGGAAAAATGTAGGAGACTGTTTGGAAATTGATTTTGAACCTGATGAAAATAAAGAATGGAAAGCTTCAGTGCTGCCGATAAAGATGCTGAGTTGCGACACACGTCTTAATTCAGGGTGGGTGCACGGGTGCGGGTTAAATATTCTCAGTACTCTTCTGGTTGCTTGAAACAATTCATCACAACACAGTGTATGGCCTTTGCTCCTAGGGATGATGGTCTGCCTGTCCCACCCCCTCCCTGCCTCTGAATGGCCAGGCCCCACCATTAGCCCAGTTGGAGGGTGGGAGGAAGGGGGACTTCTCAAACTCCGAAGCTTCTCTAGGCATCCTGATTTTCAGGGCCACATGGTCCCAACCAGACTCTGCACCATACTCTTTTCTCTTGGGTACCCCCCAACAGTGAGAGGGGTCATTACAGAGCCCAGCAAGCACCACTCAGAAAGGCCCAGCAGCAGAGTAAGCCCCTATCATGACAGAGGAATGAAGCCTGGAGGGGCCCCGCACTTCTCCCCCTAGAGCTGCCTGAAGGCCTCTCTGTCTCCTACCCGACAGTCAACTCTTCTCCTCCAAGGAGCTTAATTCAAGGCTCATGGGGTCTGAAGGGAGGAGGCTGAAGGAGAAAGAAGGGGAGAATATTAGAGAGAGATGGGGATGGCAGGAAGGAGCCTGTGGTGCCTGAAAACACCAGGAAGTTCTGGGGAGGAGGAAAAACCGATGCCCCACTTAGGGTGTCCCATTTAGGGTGAGACGGAAAATCCTCACCTTTTTTTCACACTTTAGGTCCCCCTTCCCAAAAGTGAGTAAGTGTGGGTGCTTCTGGGATGAGTAACAGTGTCCCCCATTACTTCATGGCTGACTTTCAGCCACAGGCTGGAGGAGGCAGAGGGTGACCCAAGGCCCTATCTAGGTCACCCCAATGGGTCACCCTACCCCCTCAGCCTACCACATGGTTTTCTCCTGCCTGGCACCCCAGGGCTGGAGGTAAAGCCTAATTTCCGAACTCAGTGGGGGCTCCCAGTCTAGGGGGGCTCAATTTCCGTCTCCATATTTGTTTTTGGAATTATTATTTTTTTGAGACAGGGTCTCGTTCTGTCACCCAGACGGGGGTACAGTGGCATGATCATAGCTTACTGTAACCTCAAACTCCTGGGCTTGAGTGATCCTCCTGCCTCAGCCTCCTGAGGAGCTAGGATTACAGGCATGCACCACTACACCTGACTAATCTTTAATTTTTTTTCTAGAAACAAGGTCTTGCTATGTTGCACAGGCTGGTCTTGAACTAGTGGGCTCAAGTGGTCCTCCCACCTCAGCCTCCCAAAGTGTTGGGATAACAGGCATGAGCCACTGCGCCCCACCCTTATTTGTCTTTGACTCTCTCCAGAAGAGCCTTCATCCAGGGAGGGGGTGCTTTTCTCTTTCCGGATTACCCACCTCTCACCTCTCCCCTCCTTCACCACAAAGACCAGTGGGACCAAGCCGGCATGTGAGTCCTTCACCCACATCTTATTCCTATGTTTCATTCTTTTTTAAAAAATAGAGACAGGATCTCACTATGTTGCCCAGGTTGCTCTGGAACTCCTGGGTTCAAGCGATCCTCTCACCTTGGCCTTGCAAAGTGGTAGGATTACAGGTGCATGCCACCACGTCCGGCAGTTCGGTTCCTTGTTCTTTATTGTCCTCAGTCTCTTCGATTTCACCCACTGAGAGAATGGAAGGGGATAGAACAGCTGGAAACTGGTTGAAGGAAGCCAGAATTCACTAAGTGCCCACTGTGCCAAGGGCTGAGTGAGGTCCTCTGATGGAGGTCAGGCCTTCTCTCACATGCCCTATGTGTGGTGGACATTCCTATCCCCATTGGATAGATAGGTTAAGTGGCTGGTTCAGGTTGCAGAGTTAGGACAGGGTGATTTGAAGCCTAGACACCCGAATCTCTGGAAGTCCCTTGGCTGTGTGATTCAGGTACCTGAGAATGCGGCTCCTCTCCAGCTCTCTCCGGACTGCTGGCCAGCTGCAACAGCCGGAAATCTCACCTGAGCTGCAGGATTTTCCCAGCAAGGATTGGAATTCCCAGAGTTGGAAATTCCCATGCCCTGAGGGAGAGGTAATTAGGTTCAGGCTCTTGTTTCCTGGGGGATGGGGAATATTCTGTTGGGCTTTGTTTATGTAGGGTCTCCAGGGCCCTAGGAGTCTAAGGATGGGACTGGGTCCGAGGGATCTTAAAGCCTGTGGAGAGAGGACTTAGGGAGCTTCTTCCCACCCACAAGAAGAGGCAGATGCAGAATTAATTCCAAGAAGGAGACCATGTTTCTTTTCTAAGCAAACTTTATTTCTCGCCACTGAATAGTAGGGCGATTACAGACACAACTCCCCTGGGGAGCAGAGGCTCAGCAATGAGTGACAGTTGGTCACCAAATCAGCATTGTTTAGACAACTTAATCAGATAAATATTTTAAAAAACATAATCAAAAGAAGGCACAGAGGCCAGGGGGCTACATGGGAACAGCCTATTGTTCAGCTCCGTTTTCACGGAAAACATGTCTGAGCCAAGGCAGCTCCTACATTGGGTCCCCCAGGATACCCCGGTCTCCCAAATAAATACATTCATCTGTAAATAAATAAATAATAAATAAATAATAAATAATCACAAGTGCAAACATAAATAGAGGGAGCTGGCTCCATGGGGAGGGCTGGGCTCCGTGTCTCAAGGAAGTCTGGAAACATCTGGAGAGAGGAAGGCCTAAGGTCCACTTGTGTCAATTTCTAGGTGAGGTCTTCTCAAGTCCTGCAGCATTCTGGCCAGAACCAAAGGCTCCCTGGTCTCCAGATTCCAGATGTCAGGGATCAAAGCTGTAGGCCCCAGTGAGTTCTGGAGGCCCCAGTTTGAATTCTTAGTGGTTGCCAGCACTTCACTGTGCAGGCCACACATTCCTGAATCCCAGGTTTCGAAGTGGTGGTCTTGTTGCTTAAAGTTCTAAGCTTGGGTTCCGACCCTAAGCCCCCAATTCTCTTTTTGAGCCAGAAGAGGTTGAGGGTGTCTGAAGGAGGGGGTAATAAAGGGATTGGGGCAGGGGAGGCGTTTGGGAAGGTTGGATGTTCGTCCTCCTCACAGGGCAATGATCCCAAAGTAGACCTGCCCAGACTCGGCAAAGTCGAGATAGTCGGGCCGATTGATCTCAGCGCTGAGTCGGTCACCCTTCTCCAGCTGGAAGACCCCTCCCAGATAGATGGGCTCATACCAGGGCTTGGCCTCAGCCCCCTCTGGGGTCTCCCTCTGGCAGGGGCTCTTGATGGCAGAGAGGAGGTTGACCTTGGTCTGGTAGGAGACGGCGATGCGGCTGATGGTGTGGGTGAGGAGCACATGGGTGGAGGGGCAGCCTTGGCCCTTGAAGAGGACCTGGGAGTAGATGAGGTACAGGCCCTCTGATGGCACCACCAGCTGGTTATCTCTCAGCTCCACGCCATTGGCCAGGAGGGCATTGGCCCGGCGGTTCAGCCACTGGAGCTGCCCCTCAGCTTGAGGGTTTGCTGGAGGGAGGGAGAGAGGGAGAGGAGAGTCAGTGTGGCCATGTCGGTTCACTCTCCACATCCTGGCCCTCGAGCTCTGCCCACCCCACATCCGGTTCCTGTCCTCTCTGTCTGTCATCCCACATCCCACCTGGCCATGACGTTCTGAGTATCCCACTAAGGCCTGTGCTGTTCCTCCACCCTTCCCTTGAGCTCAGCGAGTCCTTCTCACATTGTCTCCAAGTTCTGCCTACCATCAGCCGGGCTTCAATCCCCAAATCCTAGCCCTCCAAGTTCCAAGACACATCCTCAGAGCTCTTACCTACAACATGGGCTACAGGCTTGTCACTCGGGGTTCGAGAAGATGATCCTGAAGAGGAGAGAGAAAAGAAAAAGCTGAGACCCTTAAACTTCCTAGAAAATACCCCCCTACTTTCACCTCCATCCATCCTCCCCCAAGACCAAAACTTTAAATTTCCCCCACTGCTTCCATACCGGTACTAACCCTACCCCCAAACCCAAACCCAGAATTAGGAAAGAGGTTTGGAGACACTTACTGACTGCCTGGGCCAGAGGGCTGATTAGAGAGAGGTCCCTGGGGAACTGTTGGGGAGAAGGAGAATGGTTAACATCGAGGGAGTCACCCTTAAAGGAGGAACAGCTGGCTGCCTGTCTGGCCTGCGCTCTTAGCCCTGAGGTGTCTGGTTTTCTCTCTCCATTCATCCGTGTATTCACCTTCCAGGCATTCAACAGCTCTTTCCCTGAGTGTCTTCTGTGTGCCAGACACCCTATCTTCTTCTCTCCTTATCTCCCCCATCTCTCTCCTTAGCTGTCATATTTCCCGCTCTCTTTCTGTCTCACCATCTTTATTCATATCACTTGTTTCTTCCCCCATCTCTCTTCTCACACCCCACATCTGTCTCCATATCTTATTTATATATCTGCTTGTTCATTCATTCATTCATTCATTCACTCCATACACACTTAGTGAGCACCTTCCATGTGCCAGACATCCTGTCTCTCCATCTTTCTCTCTCTCTCTTCCCCATCTCTTGCCACATCTCTTTCTGCATCCCCGTCTTTCTCCACGTTTTTTTCTCTCCATCCCTCCCTATCAGCGCACATCTTTCACCCATCCCATCTCTCTCCCTCTCTTGCGTCTCCATTTCCCCTTGGGTGGGAGAGTGGATGAAGGCTGGCCAGGCACTCACCTCTTCCCTCTGGGGGCCGATCACTCCAAAGTGCAGCAGGCAGAAGAGCGTGGTGGCGCCTGCCACGATCAGGAAGGAGAAGAGGCTGAGGAACAAGCACCGCCTGGAGCCCTGGGGCCCCCCTGTCTTCTTGGGGAGCGCCTCCTCGGCCAGCTCCACGTCCCGGATCATGCTTTCAGTGCTCATGGTGTCCTTTCCAGGGGAGAGAGGGTGGAGCCGTGGGTCAGTATGTGAGAGGAAGAGAACCTGCCTGGCAGCTTGTCAGGGGATGTGGCGTCTGAGGGTTGTTTTCAGGGGGGGTCTGTAGTTGCTTCTCTCCCTCTTAGCTGGTCCTCTGCTGTCCTTGCTGAGGGAGCGTCTGCTGGCTGGGTGTGCCAACAACTGCCTTTATATGTCCCTGGGGCGAGAGGAGGGCGGGGAAAGAATCATTCAACCAGCGGAAAACTTCCTTGGTGGAGAAACCCATGAGCTCATCTGGAGGAAGCGGTAGTGGGCCCTGCACCTTCTGTCTCGGTTTCTTCTCCATCGCGGGGGCGGGGATTTGGAAAGTTGGGGACACACAAGCATCAAGGATACCCCTCACACTCCCCATCCTCCCTGCTCTGATTCCGAGGGGGGTCTTCTGGGCCACTGACTGATTTGTGTGTAGGACCCTGGAGGCTGAACCCCGTCCCCATGCCCCTCAAAACCTATTGCCTCCATTTCTTTTGGGGACCAGGTCTGTGGTCTGTTTCCTTCTAATTTCCAGACAGGATGCAGGAAAAAGATAGAACTAGAACTGGGAGGGGCTTCAGAAAGCTGAGTCCTTGAGGGAGAGAAAACGGGGTTGGAGGGAAAAGCTGTGTTGAGTCCTGAGGCCTGTGTTTGGGTCCCTGCGGGGAGAAGGAGCTGGGGGCTTGGTGGCAGGCTTGAGGCCTCAGGAAAGGCTGGGTGGGGGTAGCAGGGACAAGCCTGGGACAGCCCCGGGGAGTGAAATCACCCCCGGGAATTCACAGACCCCACTGGGGCAGGCCTTCTTCTTTCATTCTGACCCGGAGACTCATAATGCTGGTTTCAGTCTTGGCTTCCAAGGAACTCTGGGGTCCCTGATTTTTTTCATGAAGCTCTCACTTCTCAGGGCCCCAGTGTGTGGCCATATCTTCTTAAACGTCCCCTGTATTCCATACCTGGAGGTCCTGGAGGCTCTTTCACTCCCTGGGGCCCTCTACATGGCCCTGTCTTCGTTAAGGGGGGGTCCCCATACTCGACTTCCATAGCCCTGGACATTCTCCTACCCATTGCTGTGGTCACATCTCCCCAGAGGTCTCCTGTAACCCATTCCTCAGAGCCGCTACATGTGGCCATATCTCCCAGGAGCTCCCTGACCCCCGCCCCTCCAGACCCTGACTTTTCCTTCGTCTTCTCAGCTTCTCCTTTGCTTCCCCTGCAGCAGTCTGGCGGCCTCACCTGGTGAGTCCATCACATATCCCTGAAGCTCTCTGAGCCCTTATCCTTTTGTTCTCCCCACAGCTCTTGCTCCCTTTGAGCCCTCTGTCCCTCCCTCCATTCCTTAGATAGACTGGGAAGTTCTCACTCCCAGACACACACACACAAGCAGACAGCATTTCAGAGAAAAGAGGTTTATTGGGCTTCATCGAGGGTGCAGATGCCTCCGTGTGGGGCTCTGGTCGGCAGCTGGCTTTCAGAGCCTTTCCCTGCCTTCTGGGGCCCTGTGATCCCTCATGCCTACTTCTTTCTCTCTTGGTCAGCCTTGTGCGCATGCCCTCTCACTCTTCATCTCTTGGGCCTGTCTCTGTTTCTCCTTGGATGTTCTTCTATTATTCCCCTCTCTCCATCCTCCATAAATAAATAATTTAATTTTTTTGCCTTCATAAATAGTCCCCTCCCTGCCTCTAGTCATCCCCCAAGCTCCTCCATGTGCCTGCTCTTCCTCTGTGTGTGGATCTAGGCCCCACCTAGCTGGTGGGACAGACCAACAGCTTTGGGCTGGGAATTCCTAGGCAGGCTTGAAATCCTCAGCCAGACAGACATCAGGGATGGTTCAGGGAGGTGTGGTCCCCTGGGATGCCTAGAATTCCTTCTTTGAAAGCTCCGGTGACTTGATCAGGGAAGACTTGAGCTGTTGGAATGGCCAAAGGAGAGGTGGTGACGACCCCTGAAATGGTCAGAATGGAGGCAGAATGGGGAGAAGGTCTTGAAATCAATTATTTTTTCTTTCTGGATTTTTCCAAGTTCTACAGAGCGAAGGCTCCAAAGAAGACAGTACTAGGGCTGAGGACTAGGTGGGGGATGCCATCTGTGTGGGTGGATAGCTGGTCTCCCTGGGTGAGCTGGAACGCAGCCCCGTGGTACATCGAGTGCAGCCAGGGTTCCTGCAGCCCTGGATACACCATCTTCTGGGAGCTGAGGAGAGGCACATGGAAGGGGTACTGGGAGGAGAAGAGCTGGACCTCATGGGCCAGGTAGAGTGGGGAGGAGGTGGCCTTGGGAGAGTAGGCTTTCCCAGAGAAGACCACCTGGGAGTAGACGAAGTAGATGCCACTGGTGGGGACCAGGAGAGAATTGTTGCTCAAGGAGAAACCATCCTGGAGGAAGGCACGGTCCGTGTTTGCTCTCCAGAGCAGTGAGTTCTGCTTGCTGGGGTCTCCTAGGAAGAGCCATAGGGGATGGGGGTGGGAGATCAGGGGTCTGGATCAGAGGTCTCAATCCCTGAGGAAGTGGGCACTGAACAACTGAGTTCCTGGGGGATGGCAGGGGGAGGCATAGGAGTGGGCTCCCTCTGTTTTTTTTAGCGTGGGGGAAGTTGGGGGAGAGGGGTGGATGCTTGGGTTCCTGAGGCAGGGGTAGGAGGAGAGCTGGTGGGGACATGTCTGGGAGGTCAGGTGGATGTTTACCAATGAGGTGAGCAGCAGGTTTGAGGGTGCTGTGGGCAAGATGCATCTTGGGGTGCTGACGGGCAGTCTGGGCAGCTGAAGGTGTGAGGCCAACACCAGGGAGCCCCTAGGGGAGAACAGAGTTGAGGGGGGCTCTAGGGCTCAAGGTTTGGCTGAGCCACCCCAGCAGCCCCCATTCTCCTGCTGCCTCACCTGGGCCCCAGGCAGCAGAACCAGCAGCAGCCCCAGAAGGAGGAGGTGTAGGGTGGTGCCACGCACCCTTGGGAGGAAGAGACGTTCAGGTGGTGTCATGGGGAGAACCTGCAGAGAAAGAGAGAGAGAGAGAGAGAGACAGTGAGCGGGGCGGGGCACGCGGCGGAAGACAGACCTCCCGCCCTGGGAGACAGCACCCCCCGACCCCCGAGAGAGAGATCGACAGAGAAGGGGACAAGATGCAGTCAGAGAAACCCCAAGGTGAGCAGAGGGAGACAGAGAGAGACAGGAAGGGAACAGAGAGGAATCATGGCAGAAACAGAGAATGTGTGACAGAGACAATGAGACTGACAGATGGAGAGTCAGAGACAGAGAAGGAAACCAAAACCAAACCCACCAAGGCCCAGGCCCAGGCAGGCCGGGGATCCAGGCAGCAGGTGCAGGAGGGACCGAGGCCCAGGCAGAGGGCAGGACACTGCGGGGCGGTAGTCCAAAGCACGAAGCACGGGCAGCCCAAGGAGATGGGGCAGGAGAGCCTCACCTGCTGTGCGGAGCCCCTGGGCCCGGACGCTCAGGTCCCTTTATAGAGGAAGCGGCAGTGGCAGCGTGGCAGGCAGCGGGCGGGTTCTAGGTCGGGGCTGGGGCCCGGGGAAGCCCCCAGGGCTTAGAAGATACTGCTGTTTCAGTCAAAGGCAGGAAAGGCTGAGGCCTAGGAGAGAACCACAGGCTGGGGGTTCAGGCGACTGAGTTCTGGGAAAGGGAGTCGGGTCAGGGGAATCGTGGGCTGGGAGGGCCAGGGAGTGGGGTCAGGCCTAGAGTTCCAAAGAAGGGACAGTCAATTCAGAGAGGAGGCGGTTGAGCAGCTGGGGTGTGAGCTGGAGGCCCGGTTCCCTGAAGAGCAATCATATATAACATCTCTGCACCCTTGGCTGAGTACAGGCTTCTCTCTTTGCCCATTTCCTTCTCTTGTACCCCTGTCCTTGTCCCAAACAACTCAAATCATACTTGTCCCAGTATACGGACTTTCCAGCCCATCTGGCAGGTTTCACATCAAGAAGGTCCATTATATATCCCCTTCATCGGGGACATTCTGGTGTTTGCCTCTTGTCCAGGTGAAAATATTAATGGATCCCCCTTCCACTCTTGAAAGTGTCCTAGTTTGGAAGATAAATTTTTTGGTCCCCTTACTCAGAGATGATGCTGGACAGTCAAGTATGATGAGGTCTCATCTCACTCCTGAAGGATGCCCTCCATCTCTTCCTGACTTCAGGTGGCTTCCACAGAACAGATTTATATAACCCCAAATAAACACACATTCCAGGATCAATGTGGCAGACACCTTCCAAAGTTTTCTACAAAGGAAGTTTCAGAATTCCACATGGGTGAGGCTTAAGGGTGGTGACTTAGGGTGGGGTGGGGACAGCTAAGGGACTTGTTCTGAAGCTGCATTTGCAGAGCCAATACATTATTTTAAAATTGTTCCAGGCCTGGTGCAGTGGCTCACACCTGTAATCCTGGCACTTTGGGAGTCTGAGGTGGGCGGATTACTTGAGGTCAGGAGTTTGAGACCAGCTGGCCAACATGGTGAAACCCCATCTCTATAATAAATACAAAAATTAGCCAGGCGTGCTGGTGCGCATCTGCAGTCCCAGCTACTCGGGAGGCTGAGGCTGGAGAATTATTTGAACCTGGGAGGCGGAGGCTGCAGTGAGTCAAGATCGCACCACTGTATTCCAGCCTGGGGGACAGAGCAAGACTCTGTCTCAAAAAAAAAAAAAAAAGTTTCCAAAATTTTTTTCCTTTTTATTGATATGTAACTTAGGTATGAGGTGGACACCTCTTAAGTGTACAGCTGATGAATTTTTCCATCTGTATGTAGCCACCACCCAGCTCCACGTATTTTCAGGTCCCCAGCAGGTTCCCTCATGCCCCCTCCCTGCTGATACCCTCCAAAGATAACCAACCACTCTCTCACTTTTATCACCATAGATTATTTCCTCCTGGTTTGGGGCATCATATAAATGAAATCACACAGAATGTACTCATTTCTGTTTGACTTCTTTCAGTCAGCATTATGTTTGTGAGATTCATATACGTGGTTGTATGTATCAGTAATGTTTTTAAAAAAAATTATGATGTAATATTCTATTGTATCAATATATTCTAATATATTCTGTTGATGGGGATTTGGTTTGTTTCTAGTTTTTGTCTAACACAAAAAATGTCTAACACGAACATTCTCATACATGAGCCCATTTTCACTTAGCTTGCAAGTTACAAGGTTTAAAAAAAGCAGTTTCTAAAGATGACTTTATTCACTTTTCCTAAGTTTGAGATAATACCAACTTGTCACCTCAAATATTATTACTGCTACTGATGTGATTTTACTTGGAGAGTGTTAGAGGGGTTGGAGCTGGGGCTGGTGGTGACCCGGGGTAAAGCCCACTGTTGCATGGGGCAGACCACTTCTCTCCCCAGGCACAAGGTCCCTGAGGGGTCTTGGTGTAACATGGAGGGACATGTAAGTAACATTCTGGGTGTGTATGAGCTATTTCTCCTGTTCTTCTCTACTTGAGGACCTGCCCCTTTGCCTTTTATGCTTTACTAGTCTTAGCTATTATTTCTGTAGGGGCAGAAAGGGGTGATCCCTTCCTGACCCATCATAAGGGTTATGGCCAATACTCCTATAATAAAAGACAGATTAACAAGAGAAAAGCATAATACATTTATTTAATCAAAGTTTTAGGTGACATGGGAGCCTTCAGAAATGAAGACCCAAGGACCCAGGGGAAAACTATTTTTATGCTTAGATTTGATGAAGAATGAACAGCTGTGCAGAAATGTAATTGAACAAAAGGAGTATCATCTAATGGTCACAGACTGGGACTGGGGGGATCCCAGCAAGGCCTGGCCATATTCTTCTTGGTCTCTCTGTACAGCATTCCTTCCTCCCAGGTATAGGGCAGAACCTCTTCTGGAATGAGGGTCTTATAACCTACTATCAGATGAGATAGGTCAGAAAATTTCTTTTCCTTTTTTTTTTTTTGAGACAGTTTCTCACTGTCGCACAGGCTGGAGTGCAGTGGCACGATCTTGGCTCACTGCAACCTCTGCCTCCCAGGTTCAAGCTATTCTCCTGCCTCAGCCTCCCGAGTAGCTGGGATTACAGGCACACGCCACCAAGCCCGCCAAATTTTTTTTTGTATTTTTAGTAGAGACGGGGTCTCACCATGTTGGCCAGGTTGGTCTTGAATTCCTGACCACAGGTGACCCACCAGCCTTGGCCTCCCAAAGTGCTGGGATTATGGGCGTGAGCCACTGGGCCCAACCTTCTTCTCATTCTTTTAACCTTATTATCTCTTGTGTCAGTGTGGGTTTCCCTTTTAGCCCCTGCTCCTTTCTTTTTCTCTGTGTTGCCCTTTCTCTCAGGGTCCTTTTTGCTTCCTGTTGTCTCTTTCTGCTTCTCTAATGGTATGAGCTGATGGACTGGGACCCCAGCTGAGCTATATTAAAATATAAAATGTTATTACAAGGCCAGGAGCAGTGGCACATGCCTGTCATCCCAGCACTTTGGGAGGCTGAGGCGAGCAGATCACAAGGTCAGGAGATAGAGACAATCCTGGCTAATACGGTGAAACTCCATCACTGCTAAAAATACAAAAAATTAGCCGAGCATGGTGGCACGCGCCTGTAATCCTAGCTACTAGGGAAGCTGAGGCAGGAGAACTGCTTGAACCCAGGAGGCGGAGGTTGCAGTGAGCCGAGATCGTGCCACTGCCCTCCAGCCTGGGCAACAAAGTGAGACTCCATTTCAAACAAACCAACCAAAAAACAAAACAAAACAAAACAAGCAAACAAAAAAAGGTATTGCAATTAACAGTGAGACACAGAGAGAAATTTAAATTAAAGAGGAAGAATGGGACATTGAAAGACAAAAAAGGGAAGGCAAGAAGGGTGATGGGGAGACATGAGAGACACAGAGGAAGGAAGGGTAAGACTGGGCTGAGGCTCAGTGTCACGTGCATGTGAGATATGCGAAGGATGCTCCTTGAGATGGGCCAATCTTGGTTTCAATCTCAGTTTCGGAGGTTGTATGAATTTGGTTTCTTTCTTGGGCAGGCCAGCAGTTGGTTTGGGACTTTCCCTGGGTGGGAGAGCTGATGACTGGAGTCTTGTGCCCCAGACTCAGGGAAATACAGTCTTTATAGTGGTCTTTGTGGAGAAACTAGTGAAATCTCTGAAGCCTCCAAATGAGACTGAAATGACATTAGCTTCAAACTTGAACTTAGCCTCAAAACCTGAATTGGGATTTAATACCAACATCAACCCTAACCCAAATTTAACCTCAACCCAAATCACAACTCAAACTCAACCCCAACTGTAACCCTAACCTCAAATCTAAACACATCCCAATTAATAACCCCCTAAATAAAACTTCTCCTCTACCCCAACCCAACCCTGTTTCTAGGGCTAATCTTGAAACCAGTTTACCACCACTCCTAACACTAAACTTAAATCTGACTCTAAATGTAAGTCCAATCTGAGCCACAAGCCTAAAGTTGAACTTTATCCTGCTTTATGAATTATTCATCCATTCCTCCATTTAGTGAGTATCTGCGTGCCTAACACATGCTGGGCATTGTCCTAAGGCAGGAGGGACATGGAGGCAAAGGGATCAGAGAAGGTACCAGCACCTGTGGAGCTTGTATTCCAGTGAGGCCAGACGGAAAAGAAAGAAACTGAAGAAGAAATTGGTACTATGAGAAAATAAGACAGGCTGATGTTGTAAGAGTGGCAGGGAGCTACTTTTAAATACAGTAGTCAGCAAAATCCTCTTTGAGTGTTTGGGTGGCACTGGAGCTGAGACCCAAATGACAAAAAATAGTGACCAGGTAAAAGTTTGGGAGCAAAGCATTTCAGGTAAAGGGAGCAGCTACTGCAAAGGCTGGAAGGCGGAACCAAGCTGGGGGTGTTGACGACAAACAGAAGGCCAGTGTGGCTGGAGCAGAGAGAGAGACTGGGAGGCGGGTGGGAGATGAGGTCAGAGAGGAGGGCAGGGGCCAGGTCATGCAGGGCCATGCAAGAAGGGTAAAGCCTCTAGATTTCATCCAGCCACAGGAAGCCTTTAAAGGTCGTCAGAGTGTGTGGTGCGTGTGTGTGTGTGTGTGTGTGTGTTGCAGGGGAGAGAGGGGGAGGGAGAGAGAGAGAGAGAGAGAGAAGAGGGAGGTGAGCAGAGGTGATTGGATTTTTTTTTCTTTTGACATGGTGTCTTGCTCTGTGGCCTAGGCTGGAGTGCAGTGGCACCATCATAGCCCACTGCAACCTCAAAACCATGGGCTCAAGTCATCCTTCCACCTCAGCTTCCCAAGTATCTAGGACTACAGGTGTGTGCCACTGTGCCTGGCTAATTTTAAAAAATATTTTAAAATTTTTGTTGAGACAGGGTCTATGCTGCTCAGGCTGGTCTCGAACTCCTGGTTTCAAGTGATCTGCCCATCTTGGCCTCCCAAAGTTTTTTTTTGTTAGTTTGAGAGGCGGTTTCGCTCGTTGCCCAGGCTGGAGTGCAATGACTGATCTCATCTCACTGCAACCTCTGCCTCCTGGGTTCAAGCGATTCTCCTGCTTCAGCCTCCCAAGTAGCTGGGATTACAGGTGCATGCCACCATTCCCGGCTAATTTTTTGTATTTAGTAGAGATGGGGTTTCACCATGTTAGTCAGGCTGATCTCAAACTCCTGACCTCAGGTGATCCGCCTGCCTCAGCCTCCCAAAGTTTTGGGATTACAGGTGTGAGCCACCATGCTGGGCCAGCCTCCCAAAGTTTTGGGATTACAGGCATGAGTCACCACACTGGCCCTGGATTTTTTTTCTTTCTTTTTTTTGGAGACGGAGTCTCACTCTGTTGCCCAGGCTGGAGTGCAATGGCGTAATCTCAGCTCACTGCAACCTCTGCTGCCCGGGTTCAAACGATTCTCCTGTCTTAGCCTCCTGAGTAGCTGGGATTATAGGTGCATGCCACCATGCCTGGCTAATTTTTGTACTTTTAGTAGAGAAAGTACACCATCTTGGCCAGGCTGGTCTCGAACTCCTGACCTCAGGCGATCCACTTGCGTCGGCCTCCCAAAGTGCTGGGATTACAGGCGTGAGACACCGCACCCAGCCTTTTTTTTTTTTTTTTCTTTTAAGACAGAATCGCTCTGTCACCCAGGCTGGAGTGCAGTGGCACAATCTCGGCTCACTGCAACCTCTGCCTCCCAGGTTTAAGCAATCCACCTATGTCAGTCTCCCAAGTAGCTGGGATTATAGGTGCATGTCACCATGCCTGGCTAATTTTTGTACTTTTAGTATAGAAAGTACACCATGTTGGCCAGGCTGGTCTTGAACTCCTGACCTCAAGTGATCCGCCTGCCTCAGCCTCCCGAAGTGCTGGAATTACAGACATGTGCCACTGCACCCGGCCTGGTTTTTTTTTTCTAAGAGATGGAGTCTCACTTTTCTGCCCAGGTTGGAGTGCAATGGCACCATCATAGCTCACTGCAGCCTTCAACTCTTGGCCTCAGGCAATCCTTGCACCTTAGCCTCGCAAAGTGTTGGGATTACAGGCATGAGCCACTGAGCCTTGCCTGGACTTTTTTTTTTTTTTGAGATGGCGTCTCGCTCTGTTGCCCAGGTTGGAGTGCTACGGCATGATCTTGGCTCACTGCAACTTCCACCTCCCAGGTTCAAGCGATTCTCTTGCCTCGGCCCCCCGAGTAGCTGGGATTACAGGCATGCGCCACCGTGCCTGGCTAATTTTGGTATTTTTAGTAGAGATAGGGTTTCATCATGTTGGGCAGGCTGGTCTTGAACTCCTGACCTCGTGATCCACCTACCTCGGCCCCCCAAAGTGCTGGGATTATAGGCATAGCCAACGCGCCCAGCCTGGACTTGTTTTTAAAAGATCACTGTGGCTCCTGTGTTTAGGCTGGCTGGTAGGAGACAGGTGGCAGTGGCATTGATGGTGAAGAGAAAATAGTGGCAGCCATGGAGATGGAGAGAAGTAGACAAGTTTGGGATATATTATACATTCCAGGGGTAGAAACAACAGGACTAGATGATGGATTGATGGGTGGGAGATGTAGATACTGGGAGAGAAGCAGGATTCTGATGGATGGAAAAACTAAAAAATTCTATTTTGGGTGTGGTAAGTCTAAGTCTATTAGACATGCAAGTAGAGATGTCACTGGGCAGATACACATCTGGATTTCAGGGGCAAGGTCCAAGCTAGAGAAAGAAACCTGGGCATGGTCAGCATGAGGATGGTGTTTAAAGCCATGGAACTTATCTTGTGCATCCCTATAAGACCCCTTTGAGGCACTTGTTTCCCCTCACAATGGATGCAGTGCATCTTCCATTCTGAATTCCAGAGGCAACAACCTCCTGCTCCTAGAAGCTAAACTCTCCAGACTTAGTCTTCTGAATTCCCACTGGGATTTAACCTCCCTGGATTCAATTCCCTACCCCACAAGGACCCTTCTACCAATCCATTTCACAATATTTGGTGGAACTCTTCACATTTTCAAATCCTGTCTTCTATGTTTGAAAGCATTTTCCTCTGGGCATTTTGAAACCTGGCTTTCCCCTAATGATGCTACTCCTCTCTGTGGTGAAGGTTGCTCTTTCTTCGACCTCCATCACTAGGGGAATGAAGGCAGAAGAGAGGGGTCGTTATTTTCTCTCCCCCAGACCACTGATAAACTCCTCCTCATCTCCCAAAGCACGTGCCTTTTGCATTTGCCATGCTCTTCCTGTCTTCACAGCACAATCTTATCCATCAAAATATTTATTATGCTCTTAACAACTTGTATAACTAGCTCAGTCTTTCTCCACATCTTATCCCTACCATCATCCTTGTTTGTTTGTTTTTTGAGACAAGGTATTGCTCTGTCACCCAGGCTGGAGTGCAGTGGCGTGATCTTGGCTCACTGCAGCCTCGACCTCCTGGGCTCAAGTGATCCTCCCACGTCAGCCTCCTGAGTAGCTAGGACTACAGGCGCATACCACCATGCCCGGCTAAGTTTTGTATTTTTTTTTTTTTCCAGAGATAGGGTTTTGCTATGTTGCCTAGGCTGGTCTTGAACTCCTGAGCTCAAGCAATCCACCCGCCTCAGCCTCCCAAAGTGCTGGGATTACAGGCATGACCCACCGCACCCGGCCTCCTACCACCATCTTTAGTGACTTTAAAAGCCACAAAGATCGGCTGGGCGCAGTGGCTCACACTTGTAATCCCAGCACTTTGGGAGGCTGAGGCGGGTGGATCACGAGGTCAGGAGATCGAGACCATCCTGGCTAACAAGGTGAAATCCCGTCTCTACTAAAAATACAAAAACAAAATTAGCTGGGCGTGGTGGTGGGTGCCTGTAGTCCCAGCTACTCGGAAGGCTGAGGCGAGAGAATGGCATTAACCCGGGAGGCGGATCTTGCAGTGAGCCCAGATCACACCACTGCACTCCAGCCTGGGTGACAGAGCGAGACTTCGTCTCAGAGGAAAAAAATAAAAATAAAAAAAGAAGCCACACAGATCAGATGAGTCTTACAGTCTGGCCTCTCAATTCTCCAAGTTTCTCAAGTCTACTGGTTTTACAGCCTCTTCTTCCCTCCTCCATTTTAGCCACCCAGGAGTAAGGTTGTACCTCAAACCCCAGCATCACTTGGAAGAATTATGCCTTCAAGATCTTGATCTCTGAATTACCCTTCTCATCACAACCACTCACTTTTCACATCTCCCACTCTCTGCCTCCCCTTGAATCAGTTCTTTATTCTTACCAAGACTTCCGGCTGCTTCTGCTTTCCTGGTTTTGCTTGTTGATTTAACATGTACTGCATGGTCAACAATTTCAACTCCACTTTGTCTGCATTTTAGAATCTCTTACCGCCGGGCACCGTAGCTCACACCTGTAATCCCAGCACTTTGGGAGGCCAAGGTGGGCGGATCACCTGAGGTCAGGAGTTCGAGACCAGCCCGGCCAATGTGGTGAAGCCCCATCTCTACTAAAAATACAAAAATTAGCTGGGCGTGATGGTGGGCAACTGTAATCCCAGCTACTCTGGAGGCTGAGGGAGGAGAATCGCTTGAACCCGGGAGGCAGAGGTTGCAGGGAACCAAGATTGAGCCATTGCACTCCAGCCTGGGCAACAAGAGTGAAACTCTGTCTCAAAAATTGACTTGGGTAAACTAAGTGGTCTCATTCTTGGGGCTTTGTCTTAGGCTGCCAAGCGCTGCAGTAGACAGCTGAGTCACCATAAGCGGCCTATAACTAATCCTGGCCAGCTAATCTCAGAGAGTCATCAGTGTTCTTGGACACAACTTTTACTCATTCTTTGTTGACTCCCCATTATACTCCTGTGCGTGATGTTCTAAATCTCCGTGCCTCTGATGTTCTTCACTCTCATCTATTAATATTTCATTGAGCTTAAGGCCATCAAGTGTGGATCTCACTTCCCTCTTTTTCCTTAATTTTGTTATATTTAATCTTTCCTTACATACTGACTCACAGTACTTTTTCTTGTTTCCAAGACTGATCCTTTTATCTGTACTCTATCCCACTTCCTCTATCTTTACTATATTCTCTCCCCACTTCTTGCTTATGTTTTCACTATCTCTCCCTTTCTTGTTTGTTTTTGGGATAGGCTTGCTCTGTTGCCCAGGCTGGAGTGCAGTGGCGCGATCTCGGCTCACTGCAACCTCTACCTCTCGGGTTCAAGTGATTCTCCTGCCTCAGCCTCCTGAGTAGCTGGGGTTACAGGCGTGTGCCACCACGCCCAGCTAATTTTTGTATTTTTAGTAAAGACAGCATTTCACTATGTTGGCTAGGTTGGTTTTGAACTCCTGATATCTATAGTCTGCCCACCTCAGCCTCCCAAAGCGCTGGGATTACAAGGGTGAGCCACCGCACCTGGGCTTTTTTTTTTTTTTTTTGAGACTGAGTCTCGCTCTGTCACCCAGGCTGGAGTGCAGTGGTGTGATCTCGGCTCACTGCAACCTCTGCCTCCTGAGTTCAAGCGATTCTCCCACCTCAGTGAATAGCTGGGACCACAGGCATGTGCCACCACGCCTGGCTAATTTTTGTATCTTTCGTAGAGATGCGGTTTTGCCATGTTGGCCATACTAGTCTTGAACCCCTGGCCTCAAGTGATCTGCCCACCTTGGCCTCCCACAGTGCTGGGATTACAGGTGTGAGCCACTGCACCTGGCCTATCTTTGTCTCTTTAAGCATCTTCATTTTACCTTCAATTTTATTTCTTGAAAATAAACAACAAAAAAGATCCTTCCTTGGAATGTTTCTCCCTCAAATGTCCAGTCTATCTCACCTTCCGTTTTCGTGTGATGTCTCAAAAGACTAGCCCCCTTAACGAACCACTTTTTCAGGAACTGGTAAAATTTCCCTCAACTGTAAAATCTGTGGGTAGAACTAAGAGATGATTCTCAGTTATTCTGTGTTCACCATTCTGACCTCATGCCCACCACCTCCTTTTCCTCACCTCCCACTCATTCCTCAACCTATGTAAAGTGATTTCTGCCCCTCTATTAAATGGAAACGGTTTTCTCAAAATTTGTAATCGTCTAGTTCCTGAACCCAACAATCTTTTCAACCCTCATTTACTAGACCTCTTTGAAGCCTCAAACATGGCTGCCCTGTCTCTGCTTGGCATCCCCCGCCCCCCGTGCCCTACTTCTCTGACTGCTCCCCAACCTCTCCTTTATTGGTTCTCTTCCTTTGATCATGCTCAGGGCTCTTCTGGTCACTCCGCCCCCTCCCTTGAAGATCCTGTCCACTCAAAGGCTCAACCTCTACTGGGAAGGGAATGATGCCCAAATCTGTTCCTCCAGACCCAACTTCTCTTGAGCTCCAGACCTGCTTTCTGGAAATCTCCACCTGAGAGTCATGCTGGTACCTCAAACCTTCATTGAGCACTTTATTACCCTAAGCAGGCATACCTATACATTATAACTATAATGTATAGTTATTATTTGTATACTGTCTCATTAGACTGCAAGTTCTATGAAGGCAGTGACTTTATTATTTATACCTATTGTCAAGCAGTGCCCTGCTCCTAATAGGTGCTTAATAATTTTTTTTTTTTTTGGATACAGAGTCTTGCTCTGTCACCCAGACTGGAGAGCAGAGGCATGATCTCAGCTCACTGCAACCTCTGCCTCCCGGGTTCAAGTGATTCTTGTGCCTCAGACACCTGAGTAGCTGGGATTACAGGTGCCCACCACCACACCCAGCTAGTTTTTATATTTTTAGTAGAGACGGGGTTTCACCATGTTGGCCAGGCTGGTCTCGAACTCCTGGCCTCAAGTGATCCTCCCAAAGTGCTCCCACCTTGGCCTCCCAAAGTGCTGTGATTACAGGAGTGAGGTGCCTGGCCACCACCACCCACCTTTTGGACAGACGTTGAGAGGATTTGTGGTGTTAGGAAAAGGGCTGGTTAACACACAGTAGGTATTAATTCACAAGATGATGGCCGTTTTCTTACTCCTTGTCTGTACTGCAGCACTCACCTGTTCTCCCTCTTTTTCATCGTCACCTGGACCACTGCCCACAGGATGCAGTCCAATCTCTGACCTTGACTTTCTGTGGTCCTTTCTTCATCACATGTTCCCTCACACCTGTGCTTCTTCTCCCTCAGGACGCTCCTTTCCCAGAACATACTGCATTTTCTGACTTGTCAGGCTCGCTCAAGACGTGTTATTCGCCTATGGAACCTTTCCATCCACCTCCACCTAGTGAACCCATTCATTAGAGCAAGTTCAAATGCTGTCTCCTCAGAGGCTCCCTGGATGCTTTCAAATGGACTTAATCTCCCCTCTTTCTGTAATCATCTTAAAGTTTACTCATCATGCCTTGAATCAGTTAACTAGGTATGGGTCTGCCTCCCCACTAGATTGTAAGCTTGAAGCAGGGTTTAAATTTATCTTTGGGCTACATAATGCTCAGTTGACCTACACTGAACAGAGTCCCTCCCAGATCCTTTTCCTAACTTAATCCAAACCTGCCCCAACCTGAGTCCTCAAACTGACCCTCTTCAATCTCATTATTCTTTTCCAGGCCTGTTCCTCCAATTGAATCCCAATGCATCCTCCACTGAGACTCAACTCCTGGTGCCAGCTCTAGAGAGCAGAGATACACTTCCACCTACCCACTGTTTCATGGCAGGCACTGAGTCACCCCTTGGGAATCCCTGGCCCCTGTCCCTGCCCCCACCATGCTGGACAGGATGCGTGCTGCCTGCCCCAAGGGGTCAGAGGAAGCCAGGGCCTCTAGGGCTCAGTATTTTTATCAGCCTAGGAAACAAGAGACACAGAAGCGGAAACCATGTGGTCAGAGAAAGTGAACAGCCCTTATCTCAGGGGAACCCCCACCAGGGCTGGGGGCCAGACACCAGGAAGGGACGTTGAAAAGACTGTGGTCCGGTGGACCCAGGTTTCAGGGCTTATTTTGCTTTGGTTTTATGTAACTCTTGCAGAAGGGGAAATGATGTGCTTAAAAACCAGTGAGAAATCTCCTGGGTGGAGGAGCAAATTTGGTCACCAGAGTTTTCTGTAATTTACTTCTCAACCTCCAGCTTAGGGATCCTAACCCCAACTCCCCCCAAGGCCAAACCTGGACTCTTTGCATGCCACTTCCGAAAAGCTCCAGCCTGTGAGAGGAACCGGACGCCAGGGTCACACACAGCTTGAAGTCTCTTCTCTGAATCACAGCAGCTTCCTCTCACAGGATCTTTCTCACCAGCCCTTCCCCCTCCTGCACCCTGAACATCTGCCTGGTCCTTCAGAGGCCTTGGTCTCTTCCGAACTTCAGGCTGTCTTATTCAAGGATCTCATGCCCACCCATGTTCCCGTGTTCCCAGAGGCGTGCCCTCCCTGTCTTCTACTGCCTTCCACTTCCACTCCTGGGATTCTCCTGTAGAGAACTGGGCTCAAAACCTGAAAGATAAGTTTCTGATTGATAAGATGCTCTGGTGTAACTATGCAGACAGTGCACTCACCAGCACATGTCTGTACTCTCCTTGCAGCCCTGTCCTTTCTTTTTGCCAAGTTCCCAGTTGTGTCCTGGGCGATGGTAGTGGGGTCTACCTATCTTAGTTTCCAGGGAGCCCCCCTCTCTCCTCCGTGGGAATCCCAGACTCTCCCTCCACCTCTCAGGACTTCAACTACTGGTTCTTGGAAAAGGAAATGTTTATAGGGAAGGCCATGCCTGGGCTGCCCAGAGATGAACTCAGGTTTAGGATGGGGCAGCAGCTGAATGGCGGAGATGAGGATTGGGGCCCTGGAGGAAGAGAGATACAACTGACAAGCTAGAGGGCAGAGATGGATGGAGCCAGCAGCCTGGCTGGCTTTGGGTGTGGAGCTCCAGTTGCCCAAGAACAGACAACCCATGTTACATAATTTTGCTCTTTCCACCTCCTTCCCCTGCTCCTAATTTTAGCAACTGAAATTCCACTCCCCCACAGGGCTCTTCCTCCAGCCATTCTGCTTGTATTCCCCATCCTCCCCCAGCCTCCTCATGGCCCCCCAGCGCCGGCTACCCCCAACTCGCTCATTCAGTGACTCAGCAAAGGGAAAGCCCTGTGTTGGGGGAAGGGGGTGTTAAGTGGGGAGGAGGATGTGGTTCAGCTTGGGGAGCCAGGGAGGGGAGGGAAACTGGTTTTGTTCCCCTTTTTGCCTCTGTTCGCATCTATTTCTCCAGCCACAGATTGCAGGGTGGACAAGACCCCAGTGTAGGGAGTGGAGTGAGACTGGATGGCAAACTGGGCCTTCTTAGGGCTGAACTGAGGGGGCATGCAGAGGCTTCTTGCCTCCAGCTCAGAGCCCGTGTTAGCGTGTGCGTGTGTGTTGCAGGTGTGTGGGAGCTGTGGGTTTCAGCAGGCGGGGCGGGAAAGGAGATGTCATGGGTGATGAAAACCACAGCAATGGAAAAAGACAGAGGAGACACTGGGAGTGAGATGTGGAACCAGGTCTTATTAGGAAACGGCAGAGTCAAGGAGCAGTGGTGGCGGCCCGCACCCCCCACCCCCACTTGTTACAACTTTCGCTCCCACCCATATCCTCTGCTGAGCAGCACCTGGCTCTTCCTTGTGGTCCCCATCCTTTCCCTTACCCTTCCTTCTGCCTCATCCTGAGGCTGCAGCCCCGAAGTTTCTTGCTTCTTCCCTAGGGTCACTTGAGGGCCTCTGCATGGCGATTCAGGGCCTGAGAAAGGGCTGTCACTGCTCCCATCACACGGCCCAGCTCCCAGGTCTCAATCTGGCTTCGGAATCGCTGCAGGAAGCGGTCAGGGTGCCAGCGGACCTGCTGGACCCTCAAGTACCTCCTCAGAGCCCCCTGTTCCTCCAAAGGGGGGCCCCTGGCCACCAGGGCTGCAGCCATGGCCTCTGGGTCCCCTCCCCCAGGGCAGGGCCAGGGCACATCACCAAATCGCCAGAGGCTGCCCCTCCCCGCTCCTCTGGGGTGCTCTTCCCTGGGCCCGGCCCTGGTTGGCTTGGGTTCTCGGTCCCCTAGAGCCTCCTGCGCCCTCCTGGCTCGGCTCTCACGCAGCTCTTCCTCCTTGGCCCGGGCTCGCTCCCTGAAGAGCCGCTGCTCCTCCTCCTGCTGTCGCCAGCTCTGGCTGGAGCCCTCAGCACGTGGGGGTCGACAGGATCCCTCTGCTTCTCGCTGCTGCTGCTGGCACTTCTGGGCATGTTCCCGGGCCAGGCGATCTGACCAGGCTGAGAAGGACTCAGGTTCCTGGGTTTCATGGGAGGCATCACCTGTTTGGGAGGGTGGGATGGGGGTAGTTGGAGAGAGGCTGTGAGAAGGTGATGGGCCCCAAGAAGCAGGGAAGCACAGAGGAGGGGGCAGAGGAGCCTAGTGTGACGCATTCATGCAGATGGAAAGCAGCCAGTGGGGAAGGGCAGCTGTGGATAGCAGTGGACTTCTCACCTTCAAACCTCCCCATGACTTCCTGCCACTCGTCCTCCAGCTCACCCTGGAGCTTCTGTCTCCATTCCCGCTCCTTGGAGGCATCATCTTCTTCCTCCTCTTCAGCAGAATCCCAGGGGGGTCCCCAGCCCAAAATTTGGCCAGGGGTCTCCCCATCCTTATTCTTTATTCCCATGGCGGAGGGACAGCGGCTTAGCAGCGGGAGGAAGAAATCGGTGTAGGCTGTTGGTGGGAGAGCAGGGAGCAGAAGTTAGCTGGGACTCCCACTCCTCGGCAGAGCTGCCATCTTGAATCCTGCTGGTCACTCACTCCCTTGGTCTTAAAGCAATGGAAGGGTGGCTCACATGGATGCCTCCTGGGTATTAGGAAATAACCATCACTGATAAATACAGACTGATAGTTTACCACATGCATGGTAAGTGTGGTAGTTTAAAATATTCTCGGCCAGGCGCGGTGGCTCACGCCTGTAATCCCAGCACTTTGGGAGTCCGAGGCGGGCGGATCACGAGGTCAGGAGATCAAGACCATCCTGGCTAACATGGTGAAATCCCATCTCTACTAAAAAATACAAAAAATTAGCCAGGCCTGGTGGCGGGCGCCTGCAGTCCCAGCTACTCGGCAGGCTGAGGCAGGAGAATGATGTGAACCCGGGAGGTGGAGCTTGTAGTAAGCCGAGATCGTGCCACTGCACTCCAGCCTAGGTGACAGAGCAAGACTCCGTCTCAAAAAAAAAAAAAAAAAATTCTTACTTGTGTCTCCACAAACTATTTCAGCATCCTAGAAGTTCTACCATGCCAACTGACATTTTCTGACCTGCCTCCAGCCACCAAGGCAGTGCCCAAATTCTTTGACTATGTATTCCACTTTTCACTTAAAAATATTGTCACTATATAAATCCCTTATTTTCTCACCTGAAACCATATATCAGACTGGGAAAATATCTGAATGCTCTACTCTGGGCCATTAATAAATACACAAATATGTAATACTTATCTTTTATTATCACTTATCAATAAACTGAGTAAAATAAATGTTTTCAGGGGAATTTCTCTCAGCCAGCCTTACCAGGGGATGATGGGAGAGGGGTGGGGAGGTGAACCGGCAACAACTATGGCCGGCGGCAGAGCAAGCTCTTTCCAAATGACTGCTGACCTAGGGCAGGGGAAAGGGAGTGGAGTGTGACAGAGGGTCTCACCCATGGGCTGAGAGAAAACAGGAGAGGAACCGACGTTCCTGAACTCCCCTTTTCTTCAGTCCCAACCTTGCTGCATCTGGCCCAAGGTTAGCTGAGTGCCATGCTACTTCCTTCACTGCCAACCCAGGCATCCTGGCCAGGCCCACCTGCTGTGGCCACCAACCACCTCTTTCACTTGGGGGATAGAAGAAGGGGAGGGAGGCAGCCTTCCTTCCTGTGGACCTACTTTCTTTCCCCGGGGTAAGAGGAAATGGGCTAGCAGTCCTTAAATCTTTATTTGGTAGTGCTGGAAAGTACTGTTTACCTGGCAGAAAGCTGGAATAGGGGAAGGCAAGGCCAGGAAGGCAAGAAGACAGAATGGCCCAGGTGTGGCTGGCGAAGGCCCACCATCCCTACCCAAATCACATCAGGGTTGGTGGGGGGGGCACTTCTCCCTAGTGCTGCTGTGACCTGTCACAGACCCTCTCAACTTGTCCCACCCAGAAAGTACCTGGTCCTGTCTCTCATTCGCTTGTTCCCCACCTGAGCTCAGGTGGTGAGCATGGTGAGTGCTCAGGCTTGCATGGGAGGTTTACATTCATAGGTTTTAAGGAGTAGGGCCTCCAACTATAAAAACATAATATTAAACAGCCACTACAACTGAGGCATGTGTTTGAAAAAAGCTGGCTACAAAACTGTAGAGAGGATCAGATGTGGCCAGGCACGGTGGCTCACGCCTGTAATCCCAGCACTTTGGGAGGCTGGGGGGGGGGGGACAATGGATCACAAGGTCAGGAGTTCAATACCAGCCTGGCCAAGATGGTGAAAACCCGTCTTTACTAAAACAAACAAACAAAATATATATATAATTATATTTTATATTATATATAAAATTAGCCAGGCGTGGTGGCTGACGCCTGTAATCCCAGCTACTTGGGAGGTTGAGGCAGAGAACTGCTTGAACCTGGGAGGCGGAGGTTGCAGTGAGCCGAGATCGCGCCTCTGCATTCCAGCCTGGGTGACAGGGTGAGACTCTATCTCAAAAAAAAAAAAAAAAAAAAAAAAGAGAGAGAGAGAGAGGATCAGATAATAACTGTCTAAAACAAGAGACCAAATCCTATGGTTGGAAAAAAAGAGGCCGGGCGTGGTGGCTCATGGCCTGTAACCCCAGCACTTTGGGAGGCTGAGGCGGGTGGATCACCTGAGGTCAGGAGTTCGAGACCAGCCTGGCCAACATGGTGAAACCCTGTCTCTACTAAAAATACAAAAATTAGCCAGGCGTGGTAGCATGTGCCTGTAATCCCAGCTACTTGGGAGGCTGAGTCAGGAGAATCACTTGAACCTGGAAGGCAGAGGTTGCAGTGAGCTGAGATCATGCCAGTGCACTCCAGCCTGGGCAACAGAGGGAGACTCCCATCTCAAAAAAAAAAAAAAAAAAAGAAAAAAAATAGACTGGCAAAAAATATGTAAAAATTCTAGCCTATGGGTGGTGGGGCTGTAGGTGGCTTTTCCCCCAATTTTATTTGACATTTTAATGTGAAAGGGATATAATTAAGTTGAAATTTTCTTTTTAAAGAAGGACGAACAAATTTGATAACTATTAACAGTGTACTGTGATCCCTTCCAGTCCCACCTTGGTGTACCTAAAAGCATACATATGACACATTTATTTGGAGATATGTAACCATACTACAAATATTGCTTGGCAACTTGCTTCTTTCATTTAACATCTCATTTATATTTTTCCACAGGAATATATACAGTCTACCTCATACTTTTTGACGACTTTATAATTAGTGTTCCACTGTGTGTACAAAACAAATCTCCTTACCCCAATATCGATAGACTTTGTTTCAAAAAATGTTCAGCCTCATGAGTATCTTACAGTCTTTCTGTGGGGGTAGATTTTCATAAGTGGAATTTCTGAGTCAAAGGACATGCGCAATTTGGTCAAACTGCTCTCAATAAGTTTGTGCCAATATACAAGTGTGCCTATGTCTTCCTTTACCAAAATTGAATATCATCAACCCTTTTAATTTTGCCAGTTGGATAGATTAAAAAATTATTTTATTAACAATGTTTTTTTCTTTTTCATGTCTTTTGGCTATTTGTATTTTTTGTGAATGAATTGCTCATATTCTTTATCCACTTTTTCTTTGGAAATTATATATATTGATATGAGGGTTCTATATACTGTATGTGTTATACATATTGCAAACATTTTCTTCTATCTATCTTTAAAAAAGCTTTTTTTTTCTTTTTGAGACAAGGTCTCACCCTGTTGCCCAGGCTGCAGTGCGGTGGCATGATCTTGCTCACTGCAAACTCTGCCCCACCTGGGCTCAAGCGATCCTCCCACCTCAGCCTCCTGAGTAACTGGGACTACAGGACGACAGCCACGTACCACCACGCCTGGCTAATTTTGTATTTTTTGTACAGACCAGGTCTCACTGTGTTGTTCAGGCTGGTCTTGAACTCCTGGCTCAAGTGATCTGCCTACCTTGGCATCCCAAAGTGTGGGATTACAGGTGTGAGCTACCGCACCCGGCCTAAAATTTTCATGTAGTTAAATCTATATCAATATATTATTTTCTGACTTTTTATTTCACTTCACTCTTAGGAAGGCTCTATTTTAAGATTATAAAACATTCTCTGCATTTTCTTCTACTACTTTAGATGTATACTCATTTTTATTTTTAGAAATTAAAAAACTCGGCCAGGCGCGGTGGCTCATGCCTGTAATCCCAGCACTCTGGGAGCCCAAGGTGGGTGGATCATGAGGTCAGGAGTTCAAGACCAGTCTGGCCAAGATGGTGAAACCCCGTCTCCACTAAAAATACAAAAATTAGCCTGACGTGGTGGCGGATGCCTGTAATCCCAGCTACTTGGGAGGCTGAGGCAGAGAACTGCTTGAACCCGGGAGGCAGAGGTTGCAGTGAGCCAAGATTGCGCGACTGGACTCCAGCCTGGATGACAGAGTGAGACTCTGTCTCAACAACAACAAAAAAGAAATTAAAAAACTCTCAAAAATACAAAGTATAATACAATACACAACCCCATTCCTACCACAGGGTTTGTTAATGTACTGTCATGTTTGTAGTATAATTTATTTTAAGGAAATAAAATCATCACAGATAAAGGTAGTTTACCGTGATACCGCCTTCCAAGTTTCATTCCTCCCCAGGCCATCTGTCCCATGAATTTGGTGTGTACCTTCCTGTCATATTCAGGTATTTAATCTGCTGGAATTTACTTTTTGATTAGGTGTGAGGTGGGACTCTTGTTTTTCCCTAGATGAGCCAAATGTTCCAATATTATTTATAAAATAGTTCACCTGGTCAGGCACAGTGGCTCATGCCTGTAATCCCAGCACTTTGGGAAGCTGAGGTGGGTGGATCACCTCAGGTCAGGACAGGAGTTTAAGACCAGCCTGGCCAACACGGTGAAACCCCCATCTCTACAAAAATACAAAAATTAGCTGGGCATGATGGCAGGTGCCCAGCTACTCAGGAGGCTGAGGCAGGAGAATTGCTTGAACCCGGGAGGCGGAGGTTGTAGCAAGCTGAGATTGCGCCATTGCACTCCAGCCTGGGTGACACAGCGAGACTCTGTCTCGGAAAAAAAAAAAAAAAAAAGTTCACCTTTCTCCAGTATTAGAAATGCCCCCTTTAGGCCTGGCGCGGTGGCTCACGCCTCTAATCCCAGCATTTTGGGAGGCCGAGGCGGGCGGATCATGAGGTCAGGAGTTCGAGACCAGCCTGGCCAACACAGTGAAACCCTGTCTCTACTAAAAATACAAAAAATTAGCTGGGCGTGGTGGCGGGCGCCTGTAATCCCAGCTACTTGGGAGGCTGAGGCAGGAGAATGGCTTGAACCTGGGAAGCGGAGCTTGCAGTGAGCCGAGATCACACTACTGCACTCCAGCTTGGGCGACAGAATGAGACTCCATCCCCCACTTCGCCAAAAAAAAAAAAAAAAAAAAAAAAAAGAAATGCCGCCTTTATAGCGATTTACCAGATCAACCGTTCTCAATGCTCTTTAATACGCTGGAGTTTCATACTAAGAAAAATAAACATAAAAACATTTTGGCCAGGCGCTGTGGCTCACGCCTGTAATCCCAACACTTTGGGAGGCTGAGGTGAGCAGATCACAAGGTCAAGAGATCGAGACCATCCTGGCTAACATGGTGAAACCCCGTGTCTACTAAAAATACAAAAAATTAGCCAGGCGTGGTGGCATACGCCTACAGTCCCTACGCCTATAGTCCCAGCTACTTGGGAGGCTGAGGCAGGAGAATCTCTTGAACCTGGGAGGTGGAGGTTGCAGTGAGCCGAGATTGTGCCACTGCACTCCAGCCTGGGCGACAGAATGAGACTCCTTTTCAAACAAAACAAAACAAAACAGAAAACAAAAACAAAACCAAAAGACATTCTGTGGGATGGGCACGGTGGCTCATGCCTATAATCCCAACATTTTGGGAGGCTGAGGTGGGTGGATCACTTGAGGTCAGGAGTTTGAGACCAGCCTGGCCAACATGTTGAAACCCCATCTCTACTAAAAACACAAAAATTAGGTCGGGCATGGTGGCTCATGCCTGTAATCCCAGCACTTTGGGAGGCCGAGGCAGGTGGATCATCTAAGGTCAGGAGTTCGAGAGCAGTCTGGCCAACATGGTGAAACCCCATCTCTATTAAAAATACAAAAGTTAGTCGGGCATGGTGGCAGGCTCCTGTAGTCCCGGCTACTCAGGAGGCTGAGGAAGGAGAATCACTTGAACCCAGGAGGCGGAGGTTGCAGTGAGTCAAGATACTGCCACTGCACTCCAGCCTGGGGAACAGAGGGAGACTCCGTCTCAAAAATAAATAAACAAATAAAAATTTAAAAATTAATAAATAAAAATAAAAAAATTAGCTGGGCATGGTGGTGTGTGCCTGTAATCTCAGCTACTTGGGAGGCTGAAGCAGGAGAATCGCTTGAACCCAGGAAGCAGAAGTTATAGTGAGCCGAGATCATGCCACTGCACTCCAGCCTGGGCGACAAAGCAAGACTCCGTCTCAAAAGGAAAAGAAAAAGGAAGCTGGAAGCTGAATGAGATGGGCCTTTCAACCAAGGAGTTAGAAGGCCATCTGGTGGCAGGGCTGGCAGAGGACCAGGAGTAAATAAGGCCAGAGAGGACACCAGGGTCTGGGAGTGAAGGCACTGAGCTTGGGTCCCCCTTTGGAAGACAATGACCTGAGAGCTGTGAGATTTCAGACAAGTTCCCGAACCTTTTGGGCCCTGCTTTCCTCATCTGTAAATGGGATAATATCAGTCTCACCAGCTTCTTAAAATTCAATACAATGGAGTTGGGTGTGGTGGCTCACGCCTCTAGTCCCGGCACTTTGGGAAGCCGAGGTGGGCAGACTGTTTGAACTCAGGAGATGCAGAACAGCCTGGATAACATAGCAAAACAGTCTCTACCAAAAATACAAACAATTAGCTGGGCATGGTGGTGTGTGCTTGTAGTCCCAGCTACTAGGGAGGCTGAGGTGGGAGGACTGCTTGAGCCCACGAGGTAGAGGCTGCAGTGAGCCATGATTGCACCACTGCACTCCAGGCTGGGAGACAGAATGAGACCCTGTCTCAAAACAAACAAGCAAACAAACAATAAAGGAAATCCCTACCACACTATCAGGGGCATTTTGGCTGAGCGCGGTGGCTCACGCCTGTAATCCCAGCACTTTGGGAGGCTAGGCTGGCAGGTCACCTGAGGTCGGGAGTTTGAGACCAGCCTGACCAACACGGAGAAACCGTCTCTACCAAAAATACAAAATTAGCCGGGCGTGATGGTGCATGCCTGTAATCCCAGCTACTTGGGAGGCTGAGGCAGGAGAATCTCTTGAACCCAGGAGGCAGAGGTTGAGGTGGGCTGAAATCGCGCCATTGCACTCTAGCCTGGGCAACAACAGGGAAACTCCATCTCAAAAAAACAAAACAAAACAAAAAACAAAACTCCCATTTTTGCGAGGCAAATTGGGCTCACAGAGGTAAGCTGCATGTCCCTGTTGATGGCAGAGCTGGGGTCTGGATGCAGGTCTGCTTCGGGGTAATCTGCTCTTTTGCCTTCCAGGGTCCTGCCTCTTACAATATGAGCTGTCAAGTTAGATGCCTGCACTCAGTAAACCTACTCTGTTTTAAGTAAAAACAACAAGAAACAAATCTGAATATGCTAGCCTATCTCAGGTACGTTAAAGGAAATTTTTAAATAGGGGGTTTTTTGACCATTTGGGGGAGTTTTGGGGGAGGGGCCTTCTGTCTATACTTGAGCTGGGGGATGTTAGGGTTGTTCATCTGGATCTAGAGGTTTTCCTGTAATGTTCTTACTCCAGAAGGAAATCTCTAGATGGGGAAAGAAGGTTTCAGCTTTTATTCTAGTAAGCAGGGCTCTACCTATAAAGAGCTGCTTCCACCACTCTTTTTTTTTTTTTTGAGACGGAGTCTTGCTGTGTTGCCCAGGTTGGAATGCAGTAGTGCAATCTCGGCTCACCACAACCTCTGTCTTCCGGGTTCAAGTGATTCTCCTGCCTCAGCCTCCCAAGTAGCTGAGACTACAGGTGTGTGCCACCATGCCTGGCTAATTTTTGTATTTTTAGTACAGATGGGGGTTTCACTATGTTGGTCAGGCTGGTCTCGAACTCCTGACCTCGTGATCTGACTGCCTTGGCCTCCCAAAGTGCTGGGATTACAGGCATGACCCACCGCACCTGGCCTCCACCACTATTATAATATCACCAGGTTCCCCATTTGAATCCTTCAGTGCCAAAGGTTTTGCAGAATTCAAATGTTTTTGGGACTTGATAGGGCTGACCTAAAAGTACACTCACTCTATATTAGGTAGCCCAGGAGGGCCTAGGCAGCCCAAGAACCAAACACATGAGTGTTTCTGCAGGGAAATGTATGAATATTGACATCAGTAGGATGAAAATAAATAATAGTCTTACTTTAGTTCAGATTAGGTTTCTGTCACCAAATGAATTTTGGTGGCAGCCTGATGAAAAATGTTGGTTCTCAGAGTGTTTTTGAGTTTAGAATTGTGGTTAAGGGAGTATGGACCTGTTGATAACAAAAACAGGAACAAGGCCAGGTGTGGTGGCTCACACCTGTAATCCCAGCACTTTGAGAGGCTGAGGTTGGTGGATCACCTGAGGTCAGGCATTCGAGATCAGCTTGTCCAACATGGCGAAAACCCATCTCTTCTAAAAATATAAAAATTAGCTGGGCGTGGTGGCATGCGCCTGTAATCCTAGCTACTTGGGAGGCTGACGCATGAGAATCACTTGAACCTGGGAGGTAGAGGTTGCAGTGAGCCAGGATCGCAACATTGCATTCCAGCCTGGGCAAGAAGAGTGAAACTTCATAAAAAACAAAAACAAAAACAAAAAACAGAGAAACAGGAACAACAATCGCCAGCATATACCAAGTGCTTATCGTGTGTGCCAGGTACTCTAATTATGTACTATGTCAGTTGATTCTCAAAACATATATGGCACAACATGGGTACTCTGAACATGGGCACAATCAATGTACAATGCTATAATGTATAACACAGGACAATGTAGCTGTTAAAAGCATGGACACTCTATCTAGTCCATCTGGGTTATAATCTCTGCTCTACCAGTGAATAACTGTAACTCTGGCAAATGACTTCTCTATGCCCTGTTTCCTCAGCTGGGAAATGGGGGATAATATCAGTACTCACCTCCTAAGATTGTTGTGAGGATTAAATGTGTTACTTTATAAGAAATGTCTGGCACATAGCAAAGGTTGTTATTATTTTAATTTTTACACATGGGCAAACTAAGCCTCAAGTAACCTGTCCAAGAATACGTAGCTATGAAGTGTGGAGCTGGGATTTGGAGCTGGGGTTTGAATCCAGGCAATCTAACTCCAGAGCCTACCTTCTATGCTACTTTTTGGCTACGAGCAAACAATCTGTCAAGAAACAAAGTAGCTACTAATCTAAACAGATGTGAAATTTGAAGACCAGTTGATCTTTGGGGAATGTTGGGTTCTTCAGACAATGGTAGCTCAGTAATGTAAAGGGACAAATGACAGCCACATGCCAACTTGGTTAACTCCTTCCCTAGGTCCTGATGACCAAATAACCAGCTTATTTCTCAACTATTGGTTGGCTTTCATTTCAGGTCTGGTCAGCTGCTTATGACCTTGTTCCCCACTGAGCAGACTCACCATCTGGGCCCTGGCGGGCAGCAGCATGCAGTGCCGTGTCCCCATGGCGGTCCTGGTGGGCAGGGTCAGCCCCGAGCCGAAGCAGCAGGCACAGGGCAGGGGCATCGTGGCGGGCACAGGCCCGGTGCAGTGGTGGGGGCTGCCCAGCATCTACATCGAGGCCTGGGTGTCGCTGGAGGAGGGCCTGGGCCCGGACCAGCCGTCCTGCAGACAAGTAACGACGAAAGCGACGTTCTCGGCGTTGGCGGCGGGAAGTGGAGGCCATGGAACTCTTGGGCTGGGGAAGGAAAAAAGGCAGCAGTCAGGACTTCAGCCTTGGCTGGTCCTTCTCCCTCCATCTCTGACATCCCCTGTTGTTTCTCCCTTTGGTTCCGTCTTTTTTTAATATCTTCAGCAAGAGATGAGGCCTAACCTAACCCTGATCCTTTATCAGATGATAGATTTGAAAAAAAATTTTTTTTGAGGGGGGTGATAGGATCAGAGGTTTAATTTTTTTAATGTAAAATTCGAGAAAAGGGTAAATAATTGGTTTAAGGCTCAGGAGCCCAGGTAAATTTTTAATTTTTAACAAAGAACTTTAAAAAAACCCAACAGGGCCGGATGGGGAAAATTTTTATCAGCAGAAATCTGAGTTTTAAAAAGTCACAGATAATCTCCAATAATGATCTAGAAATTGAATATCATGTACCCGGCAGACAGATGTGGAGGCTTCTTCCTCTGGAACCTGGGGGGAGGGGTTACTCATCAGACCTGCCCCCGCCCCCCCAAGTACCCCCAGAGCCGTAGGCCCAAGGCCTGTGTTTAAGAAGCTCGGAGACGGGAGGCGGGAAGGGCGGAGACACTCCAGGCTGGAGGAAATGGCGCAAGCAGAGACGCAGGTGGAGGACGGAAGTGAACTGTGAGGGGCGTTACCGGATGTCGTTCCGCCCCGACCGGGTAGTTCTTGGCCAGATCTCCCAGGGGAAACTAGGGAACTTAAATTAAAGGGGCCGTCTGAAACCAGAAGACTGGACTGGAGGCGAGGAAAAGGAGGCGAGGGGAGGGGAGGGAGAAAAGAGAGTTATTTGGAGGTTTTTTCCCGCCTCCTCTAACTTGGCAGAGAGAGGAGATGGTTCAGTGATGGACGAAAAGATGAGAAGACAGAGAAAATAGAGGAGATAAAGACAGGATAAAAATCACATTAAACATGGAAAACAAAAACAAAAACCACAGTGGGACAACAACAGGGACAGATCAAAAAAAAGAAAAAATACAGACAAAAGACGGAAGAAGACTATCGTAGGATGGGGCAAGTGAGATGCAAAAATTTGGACTTGAGAAATATGTAGAAAAAGATGGAGATGTTAACAACGGGAGGCAGGGGAGGGGGCGGGATGGTGGAGAGAGAGAGAAAGGTAGAGAGTTAGTTTAGAATTAAGCCCAGAATGCTCTTTTCCCAACACAGGTTGCATGATGACATCCTTACCTTTTCACCGCATTCACAACCCTTTATGCTTCCTCTGTTACCACCAATCAAGTTCTCCTTCTCTCACCTCAGTACTCCCCCGTCTCCGCCCCTGCCTCATCCCTAGACCTTTCCGACTGGGATGGCTAACCTGTTGTAAGCCCGCAGCTTTGGGCCTGGTCTCTGCTGCTCCCAGGCGGCCCCTTTGGGTACTGCCTGAGCAAGAAGTGCTGGAGAGGAGGACCAGTCATCAATAGGAGGATGAGATTGGGAGAGACACTCGGTGCAGGAGGCTGAGTGAGCAGGGGAGCACTAAGACCCAGGGGTAGTGGAGGACTGCAGCAACGAGCTGGAGGAGGAGAAGTAAGCGGTGGGGGGTGGGAGCCATCTGGTACTTTGACAGCATTCAAAACAGCATCGGCCATAACAACAGAAATGGCCAGTCAGTCCCAAGGTATCCAGCAGCTTCTGCAAGCTGAGAAGCGGGCAGCTGAGAAGGTGGCAGATGCCAGAAAGAGTGAGTCTCCTCTTTCCTCCCTTAGGAGTTTGGAAAGAAAATTGGGGGTGGGGGACAGCAAACATTTTGGGAAAACCCAAGGCTGGCGGGAAGACAGCTAGGGTCTGGAGGCTGGTTAGGAGGGAAGAAATGGATGGATATTAGAATCTGGCACCTGGTTGGCTGAGAGAAGGCTGTATAACTTTCTGGAAGGGACTGACTCCTGCTATTACATTGTGTGTGTGTGGGTCCATCCCCACTCACTGTCCTTTCTTCTGCCTCCAGGGAAGGCCCGGCGACTGAAGCAGGCAAAGGAGGAGGCACAGATGGAGGTGGAGCAATACCGCAGAGAGCGAGAGCACGAATTCCAGAGCAAGCAGCAGGCGGTGAGTTGAGGCAGAGTCGGGATGAGACCCCACTGCAAGTTGGTGGGTGCATCTAGTGAGGTGTGTAAGGGTGACTCAACAAGAAAATATGGTGGCAGAGGGCTGAGGCTGAGGGGACCCTGGCAGGGACCACAACATTGGTGAAACTTTGTGATGATATGTAGGAGAGTCTGGGAGTTTTGAAGGCCACATAGAGCTTGTGGGCGGAATGCCACAGTCTGTGTAAAGTATAACATCTATGTGGAGTATGATTAACATTTGTGGTGGAGGGTAGAGTTTTATGGTCATGGATGGTGAGGTGGTGGGGATATTACGGTCTGTTTTAGGATGAAGTTGCATGTTAGGTCTAAGGGGAAAGGGGACTGTGTTGATCTCTTTGGTGTTGGGATATTTCTGTGGGATGGGGGTGGTTTCTGAGAGGGCCTTTCTTCTAGGCTTTGTTTCAGGATCTTTCCCCTCATATGCCTGGACCCTTGTCTGTTTCTGCTTTTCCCTTTCTCTCTTCCACCCCTCTCCCTACCCCCCAGGCCATGGGCTCCCAGGGGAACCTGTCTGCTGAGGTGGAGCAGGCTACAAGGCGCCAGGTGCAGGGCATGCAGAGCTCCCAGCAGAGAAACCGAGAGCGTGTCCTGGCCCAGCTTCTTGGCATGGTCTGCGACGTCAGGCCCCAGGTCCACCCCAACTACCGGATTTCTGCCTAGGGCCACCGTAGGGCCTGACTCCTTCTGCCAGTTCCCTCCCTCAAAGAAATCCTCCAATCAAAATCACCTCCCACCATAATCCCTGTCTTCTTTCCATCCCCTAGAAATCCTGGGAGGCAGGATCCAATAATTTTCCTGTGACACTTATAAATATCCTGCTCACATCTGAATCTCCTTGTTGTTCTTTAACCCTCACTGGGACTTTGTAAACTTCCAAGTCATTCTCACCTAAACCCTCTGTGAAATTTGTAATATGGGGAAGTAGGAATGTGGAAAACATCCTGACTTCAGTGTCTGGCCGATGTGGGTCCCTCTCTTGACCCTGTCACTTGCTGGCTGTGAAACCAGGACAAGCTACTTAACTTGGTAGCCTCGATGTCCTCCTCTGTGAAACTGGGATGATAATAATGCCTACCTTGTGAGGGTTGCTTCAATGATTAGGAATCATTCTGTAAAGTCTAGCACAGTTCCTTGCATGTTGTAGCAGTGATTCAGTAAGTAGCAACCCTGTGATACTATTACCACCACCTGCTCACTGGTCAAAACCTACACAGCTGTTTCCTCACGTCCATCACTGGCTCTCTAATTCCACTTGTTCATTCTGTGACCCTAGTTATTTTCTGAAAAATTGGTTCTTCTCTTTTCCCAGAGACCTTCTGATCTCCAAAAAGAGGAGATGACTACATTTAGCCCCTCTCTTATAATTCCAGGTAGATAACTGCATTTTGTAGCCTCTCTTTGTTTTTCTTTTGCTGATCTTTGTCTTTATTAGATTTTCCTCCTTTCCTATTTCCCCAAAGACTTATCAGATGCTCATTGCTTTCTAAGATCTAAAATGATACTGTGTTCCCTCATATGCATGCCCTTCCTTTCTATATCCTTGACACCTTACTTTCCCATTGTAACAATAAAAAAAGTATCAATAAAATAATTATTGGCAAATAAATTGGTGAGTTGAAGCAGCCTCCTTTTGCCTCATCATTTCTCATTTTCAGTCACTTTGTTTTTTTTTTTTTTGAGATGGAGTTTTGCTCTTGTTGCCCAGGCTGGAATACAATGGCGTGATCTCAGCTCATTGCAACCTCTGCCTCCCAGGTTCAAGCGATTCTCCTGCCTCAGCCTCCCAAGTTGCTGGAATTATGGGTGTGTGCCACCACGCCTGGCTATTTTTTGTATTTTTAGTAGAGATGGGGTTTCGCCATGTTGGTCAGGCTGGTCTCAAACTCCTGACCTCAAGTGATCCACCTGCCTTGGCCTCCCAAAGTGCTGAGATTAGAGGTGTGAGCCACTGTGCCTGGCCTTCAGTCACTTTCTTGTTTTTTGTTTACATATTCCCTAAACAGCCCAAATGGCTATCCTTTGAAACTTCTTGGAGAAACAAGAACAAGTAGTACTTTATTATTTCTCTAAAGTGAGAAACATGGTTCCTCATTTGGGAATCTGAGGACTATAGATCGCAACTGTAGAGAAAAGCTGGAGTGTAGGAGCAAGTGCTCTTTGCCCCTTTACCTTGCATTTTCTTCATAGCACTTACTGCTACTGGTTTTTTGAGACAAGGTCCTGCTGTGTTGCCCAGGCTGGAGTTCCAGCTCACGGCAGCCTTGACCCCCTGGACTCAAATGATCCTCCCACTTCAGCCTCCTGAGTAGCTGGGATTACGGGCGAGTGCCACTATGCCTTGCTAATTTTAAAATTTTTTGTAGAGATGGGGTCTCACTTGCCCAGGCTGGTCTGAAACTCCTGGGCTCAAGCAATCCTTCGGGCTCGGCTTCCTCAAGGGTTGGGTTACAGGCCTGAGCCACTGCACCCTGACCACTTATCGATACTTGACATTGTATTTGTGTTTATGTGTTTTCTTTCCTGTAATGTAAACACTGTGAGAACAGGGCTGTTCACCGTTGTGTCCCCAGATCCTAGGACAACATGTGGCACAAGGGAGGCAGTTGATAAATACTTTTGAATAAATTAAATGATACTTGGGAAAATACCTTCTATGACACCATTCTTGAATTAGTTACTTCATTTGTCACTGAAGACAAGCTTACTTCACCAAGAATTTGAACCAATAAGGTAACCTGCAGTGTATTTACTAACCAGATTCTTTGAGCAGGGAGGCAGAATACAATAGAGAATGAGAGATGTTTGCATCCTGGCTGTAACCTCACCAGCCGTACTGCTTGAGATATGTTGCTTTGCTTCGCTTCTGTCAATAAGATGAGAATAACGGTACCTACTCCTTAGTATTAAATGATTAAGTATGCTAACAGGGAGAGGGCCAAACGTTTGTTGTTTTATTACACAGCAGGACATCAGGTCTTACTTTTGTGGCTCCCCATCTCAAAGACGGGGATAGCAAATGTTTCATTCAGGAAAAAAATCCAGGTTGAACAATGGGGCTGTTGGGGCGGGGCCAAGAACATTCTGCTCGAATTAACAGTATTAATGGGCCGGGCGCGGTGGCTCACGCCTGTAATCCCAGCACTCTGGGAGGCCGAAGTGGGTGGATCACCTGAGGTCATACATGGGTGAAGCCCCGTCTCTACTAAAAAAACAAAAATTTGCTGGGCGTGGTGGCGGGCGCCTGTAATCCTAGCTACTCGGGAGGCTGAGGCAGGAGAATCGCTTGAACCCGGGAAGCAGCGGTTGCAGTGAGCCGAGATCAGGACATTGCACTCCCGCCTGGGCGACAGGGCGAGACTCTGTCTCAAAACAAAAACAAAAACAGTATTAATGGAATGTAGTATAACCCTCAAGCCCTACTATTAACACTTGGGGCCGAATCCAGACCCCGTCTTCCCGCTCGGATTCAGAACACCTTCCTGACTCACTGGCCCTAGGGCATCAGCTACCTCGGACAGCATCCTTTTGGGAAAATACCGCCCACCAGCCCCACGACTGGGAAAGAGTCGGGAAACACCCCCGAGCAATCCAGTTCCCTGAGACTTCCCTCCTCCCTCCCCTCAGCTAGGGCCTGCCGGTTCCTAGTGCGTGCCCAGCAGTCCTCAGGTCACCTTCACTACCGGGCCAAGGACCCCGTGGGAACTCGCAGCCTTCGCCACACTCGTTCCTCGCGCATCCACGGAGGGGTGCCTACAGAGAAGACCTGCGTGGCAAAAACCTAAACGAAGAGATGAGGGGCATGGAGAGGAGTAGGATAAGAGAATAAAGATAACAGTGGGGGGGAGACGTTAGTTTCCTTTATATCTTTTGTTACTGGCGGTAGCAGTGAAGTTAGAAACGGTTTTAAAACAAATTTCAGACAGGCATTTTCCAAAGGCAAGCCTGGAGCGCACGGATCTGTATAACCGCGGAAGGCCCTGTTTCCGGTCCCTTGCGCCTGCGCTCTTGCAGCCAAGAAGGCGGGAGGCTGGAGTAGAGGGAAGCCTGCAACCGGAAGTGAAGGCAGATTTCCCTCCTTCGTCGCTGTTGCTGCCGCCATACGCGCTCTCCCTGTTTAGGTAAGCTTTGGCCTTCGCTACAATCCGTTTCCATCTGCGCTTCTCCGCACCCATCCCGTCACATGGGTTCCTGATACCCTTTTCACAGGCGATGGTCTGGTCGCTGGGGCCTAGTTGGTTCGCTATTTCCTTAGCTTGCATCCCTTTCGAGAGCAAAGAGCTCCTGGGGGAAGGAAGGGAAGCTAAGGGGGGACCCAATCCAAGATGGTGTCCTCGGCGCCATTGTGTTCGTTTTGCTCCCTTCTTCCAATGGGTTCTTCTCATATTGGAGGCCTCAGCATCAATGAGAGGCGGTGCTCGGCGTCCCTTGGTCTTGGTATTTGCGGAGGGCGGGGCTCTTCTCACCTTCCTTGTTCTTTCTTGAGCTCTTTTTCGGCCCTCGGTGGGACTGGGAGGAGGAGCTGGTTTCTGGGCCCAGTTGGATTTTTCTCACCTTGACTTGCCCAACTTAATTTGGAGTGCCTTCCAAGTGTTTACGATACGATTGGTGTCATTGTATGTTTCTCCAAAAGGAGTCTCACCTTCGTAGCGTAACAGTGATGTGAGACCACTTGGTAAAGATCCTGTTAAAGCCTGGGCGGGGATTGCCTTTCTCTGTCACCTATTAGCTTTCTTATTGTAGGGTGGAGACATGAATTTTGTTTTTTTGTGGCCGAGCCATTTGTCTTGCACCGCCCCTCCCCCCCATGCTAATTACACAAGGCTTGCTTAAACAGCGGAAGGGAGGATACTGAGAAGTGGGAGGCTGAGAGCTATGGGAGGTGGACGGCGGCCATATGATGTTTTCTTTTCGAAAGGTGAGCGCTTTGCGCAGTGATGACCCTCATCTATCACCCTTGACTGATGGCTGCTGAGTTAGGCATCCATAACGGTGGGATTATAATAGGGAAAGCGGAGTCTTCCTTTGAGGACTTTTCAGGACTCTACTTGTCATCTCCATTTTCCACTTTACTAAGTTATTAGTCATATTTTACCTTTTATTATCTATTCTATTTCCTCACTGTTACTTTCAGATCAAGAATTTATAAGTTGGTCTTCCCCTTCCAACTTTTCTGGTTTCCGCTACTGTGATTGCTAATCTTGTTGGGAACCTCTGTCCTAACCACTTTCCCTGGTACTGCTTTTTCTGTTCTGTTATATTTGCTTTTCGTTTTTATGTTTTGTATCTGTTTTTCTTTCCAGGTAAAAGTTTCCTGGTTTAGGGAAAGTGGGAACTGGGGATGGAAAAGAGGTGGTGAAGGCTGTGCTCGTGATTAAGTCTTGCTTTTTTTTTCCCCCCTCCAGCTCTTCTGTTAGAAATAGTATCTTTGTTTTCCTTTGCTGTTCCTCAATCCCCTACTCTTCACCCCTTGTTTTCACCTATTTTGCGAGAACCCATCCAGATCCCCCTTCCCTTCTTCCCCTGCCGGCCCAGTTATGGCAGAGAACGATGTGGACAATGAGCTCTTGGACTATGAAGATGATGAGGTGGAGACAGCAGCTGGGGGAGATGGGGCTGAGGCCCCTGCCAAGAAGGATGTCAAGGGCTCCTATGTCTCCATCCACAGCTCTGGCTTTCGTGACTTCCTGCTCAAGCCAGAGTTGCTCCGGGCCATTGTCGACTGTGGCTTTGAGCATCCGTCAGAAGGTAAATTTTCTCTTGGGCATGTAGTGCTCATTGGGCTCTTTAAGGGTACAATACAAAGATGTGTTTGTCGTTGCTCAGGTGGTGGTAAGGGTTTATACTTAAGGCTAGATCAGGGCCAGGTGCAGTGGCTCACGCCTGTAATCCCAGCACTTTGGGAGGCCGAGGCAGGAGGGTGGCCACTTGAGCTCAAAAGTGCAAGAGAAGCCTGGGCAACATAGCGAGACTCCTGTCTCTACAAAACGTTCAGAAATTAAGCAGGTGAAGGTTGAGGCTTCAGTGAGCCGTGATTGCACCACTGTGCACCAGCCGGGGCGACAGTGAGGAAGAAAAAATCGGGATAAGTATCAAAAACAATTTTGGATAGAGGAGGCTTATACAGGCTTATTCTTTCTTTCGTGATAGCACCAAAGTGCTAATGATCCAAAAGTGACTTCCAGGTCTGCCATTCATTCTTGTGACTGGCTTTTCTTGTCTGCTTATTTTTAATTTTGTCACTTGACTTCTAATTTTAAATTTCCAGAAAGGTCCTGCTTGGACCTGTAGTCTCCCTCTGTTGGGCCAGGCCAACTGTGGTCTCTGGAAACCTCTATGACTGGTTTAGAGATGACTGGCTTCTGGGTCAGGTACCAAGTCCTTCATTTTGTCCAGGGTTGTAGTAGTTACGTGACCCGAAGTATAGCAACCTAAGCAGGAGAAGTGGTCTGTGGCAGGTATTCAAATGTCATGAATTGTTACAGATTAAGAAAAATAAGGACAGAGCTAGGATCATTGAAGGTGAGCGGTTGGTAGATGCAAGGGGTTTGTTACTAGGACTGGGAAGGCCTAGATCTGGAGGAGGCTAAAGCTAGGAGGAATTAGGAGAGTCTGATTTTGAGGTGAATGTAATTGAGCAGAGAGAGGTAAAATGGGTCTGGAAGTTGGCAAGAACCAGGTAAATACTAGACTTTGAGAATTGAGTGGTAAGAAATGGGCTTGGCATGGTGAAAAAGGTAGAGTTATCTGGAGACTGAAGTCTAATTTATCTTCCTCCCCCCCCAACTTTTAGTCCAGCATGAGTGCATCCCTCAGGCCATTCTGGGAATGGATGTCCTGTGCCAGGCCAAGTCGGGCATGGGAAAGACAGCAGTGTTTGTCTTGGCCACACTGCAACAGCTGGAGCCAGTTACTGGGCAGGTATATTTGGGGAGAGTGCTGGGGAGGGGATTTTGGTTAGGACTATAAGGGAAGGGTGTTTTTGTCCTAACTACATGATGCTTGCAGAGCCATGAGCACATGACCTCTGTTACCCTTGACAACCTGACAGCTGTGGGGGATGTTCTGTCGCAAGCGTGGGGTTCATGATTTAGATCACAGAATTGAAGTCATTTATTATCGGCCCAGGTGTGTTTTTGTGACAGTCACTTCCCTAGAGGGGATAATGAAGAGCTACATTTACCATATGTCTCCGTATACTTCCTGCCTAAGGTGTCTGTGCTGGTGATGTGTCACACTCGGGAGTTGGCTTTTCAGATCAGCAAGGAATATGAGCGCTTCTCTAAATACATGCCCAATGTCAAGGTAAGCCAAGGTAAAGAGACCTGAGAGTGAGGGTGTGGCAAGTTGGAGGGATAAGAAACTTGTAGGCCAATAGTCTCTTTAATTTTGGAGAAGCTTTAGTTTGCTGTGGTGTAACAGAGTGTTGAGTTCCTATGTAACAGGAGGATTCGTAATTGGGCTATGGATGATGCTTAACACAAGACCACCCTTTTCTTACTACTTTATACTGACTTTGAATCATATCAGTTTAATAATTTTGGGGTATGTGGCAGAGAAAGCCGGAAACTTTAAAACAGCTCCAGTGGTGTGTGAATATTGAGGATTCTGGCCAAGTGCACAATGGCTTACACCTGTAATCTCAGCAGTTTGGGAGGCCAAGGCGTGTGGATTATTTGAGGTCAGGAGTTTAAGACCAATGTGGCCAACAGGATGAAACCCTCTCTCTACTAAAAATGCAAAAATTAGCCGTGCATGGTGGCACACACCTATAGTCCCACCTGCTTGGGAGGCTGAGGCAGGGGAATCGCTTGAACCCAGGAAGCAGAGGTTGTAGTGAGCTGAGATTGTGCCATTACACTCCAGCCTGGGTGGCAGAGTGAGACTCCCATCTCAAAAAAAAAGAAAAAATCTGATTGAAGTTAAGCATTTTTGGCAAGAATCCTTCATAGGTGATGCTGTATCTCCTGTTATGCCACAAATCTGGTCGACTTATGTTAGTTATTTTATTTTATTTTTATTTATTTGTTTTGAGATGGAGTCTCGCTGTGTCCTTCAGGCTGTGAGTGTAGTGGCGCGATCTCAGCTCACTGCAACCTGCGCCTCCCACGTTCAAGCGATTCTCCCGCCTCAACCCCCCGAGTAGCTGGGACTACAGTGTGCCATCATGCCTGGCTAATTTTTGTTTTTTTTTAGTAGTGACAGGGTTTCGCCATGTTGGCCAGGCTGGTCTCGAACTCCTGACCTCAAGTGATCCACCCACCTCGGCCTCCCAAAGTGCTGGGATTACAGGAGTGAGCCACTGCACCTGGCCTCATTAATGATTTTAGATTTACCATAGGATTAGCGTCGTGACAGTCTGATTCCACAGTTGTTCTTTTCCCCCTTGAAACCAGAAAGTAGTTTCTGGTGTTATTTGATACTGTACCAAGGCCCAGATCCCCAAACAACTATTCACCTAATGGTTTTAACATGAAATGATAATATTTAGCCCGAAGCAGTAATTTCATGGGGTTTGTGTGAAAAGAGTTTGAGATTCTGGGTTTATTTAGGAAACCTTAATGTTCCATGTGTTTTTTGTGGTACTTTACACTAATCTGGTGATTTCTTGCTGTCCTTTATTTATTTATTTTTTATTTTTTGAGATGGAGTCTCGCTCTGTCATCCAGGCTGGAGTACAGTGGCTCAATCTCGCCTCACTGCAATCTCCACCTCCCGGGTTCAAGCGATTCTCCTGCCTCAGCCTCCCGGCTAAATTTTGTATTTTTTGTTTTTTAGTAGTAAATTTGTAAATTTTGTATTTTAGTAGAGATGGGGTTTCACCGTGTTGGCCAGGCTCGTCTTGAACTCCTGGCTTCAAGTGATCCACTTTCCTTGACCTCCCAAACTGCTGGGATTACAGGCGTGAGCCACTGGGCCTGGCTTTATTTTATTTTTATTTATTTTATTTCTTTTTGAGATGGAGTATCACTCTTGTTGCCCAGGCTGGAGTACAACGGTGGGATCTTGGCTCACCACAACCTCTGCCTCCCAGGTTCTCGTGCCTCAGCCTCCTGAGTAGCTGGAATTACAGGCGTGTGCCACCACACCTGGCTCCTTTATTTTTTAAATGAAGCCTGGCCTCATAAATGAAGGAAGTTGGTTAGATTAAGTCAGTAGAACTGAATTATTGTCCTGACTGCTCCGACTAGCCATGTAACTTTAGGCAATCACCCTCAGTGTTTGGTGGGGGGGACATAAAATTTTTAAATTAGGTGACCTCTAAAGTTAGTTTTAGTTTGGAAACATGCTAAAAATTGGTTTAGCTCAAACAGAGTGGGAACCCTGGGGGGATTGGACTCTTTCCTTCCTCTGTTTTGAGACTCTGCTTCTGGCTCGGCAGGTTGCTGTTTTTTTTGGTGGTCTGTCTATCAAGAAGGATGAAGAGGTGCTGAAGAAGAACTGCCCGCATATCGTCGTGGGGACTCCAGGCCGTATCCTAGCCCTGGCTCGAAATAAGAGCCTCAACCTCAAACACATTAAACACTTTATTTTGGATGAATGTGATAAGATGCTTGAACAGCTCGGTGAGTGGCAGTGCTGGGGCTTGGCTAATGCTGGGGAGTTGTTCTTTGGAGCCAAATGATGTTTATTTGAAACAGGAGCACCTCAGTGCAAGGACGACTCTTATCTATCACCCATGACTGATGGCTCTGGGTTCCCTGGTTGGTCTTTATTATGCTTTTAAGCACAGTAAAGGGTGTCATCTATCATCTTTCTATGATTTTTGTTTTTAACCTTTGAGAATAGGGGACTTTGATAATTTTAGGCATAAGTCATCACCACCATCACCGTTTTCATTATAGATTCATATACTGGGAGTCATAGGGGAGATTCTAAACTGAAAGAGAAGACAGTACCCTTCTGGCATCTCCAGCACAGCATTTACAGTCAGAATTTATAGCTGAATAAGTGTCTAGACTCAGGTCTGGGATTAATGTAGAGAGTGTTTGTAGCAGTTTGTGTGATGTGGTATTCTAGTGTGCCAGGTGGGGTTAATGGAAGATTTTTCTGTAAGAATTGAATCTTGGTGAATGAGAGTGGGGTTGGACATAGGCCCCATAAGTCATTACAAATGATCTTTGGCAATTCTATATGGTGAGCTGTAAAGGTGGGCTCCAGGTAGGGATGTCATATTTGCCTGACTTGATAGAAAAGTAATCCAGAGAGTCATAGATGGACTCTGATATCTGGAATATAATATGTGCTTGATATTTGTAGTCTGCTGAAGGCTGGCTGGGGCTTGGGCAGGAAAGGGTTGGGAGAAGGTCCCATAAAGCATGTTTTGAAGGCCTTGAGAGCCTCTGCACTGGGCTTTATCCCCATTTCATAGTTGGGAACTTTGGGGTTTTACCTTATTTCTTGCTTGGTTAAAACAAACAGCTGGAATCTGATCCCACTTCTTGATTCCAAGTCCATTGCTCTTTCCATTGTGTTGTTACTATTTCCAGCAATCTTCACCTCACTGGGAAGTCTACCTCTAATCTTTGTTTATCATACCTGCTTATTTTCTCCTACAATTTTTTTCCTTGTTCTTGTAGACATGCGTCGGGATGTCCAGGAAATTTTTCGCATGACCCCCCACGAGAAGCAGGTCATGATGTTCAGTGCTACCTTGAGCAAAGAGATCCGTCCAGTCTGCCGCAAGTTCATGCAAGATGTAAATACCCTTCTACCTTCTCTCCCTCCACTCCCCGCCCGCTGCCTCCTCCCCTTCCTCGCCCTCTTCCTCAGACTCCCTTGTCATTCAAGTGCCAAGAAGGCGGCTTGTGCCCAACTGGGAGTAATGACTCCTTGAAGAGACATACAGAAGCAGAGACAGCTAGTGTTAGGGCCTGCGCGGGTGCCAGGGAAACTCCGGAAGACTTGGTCGGGTTAATGTGAGAGCGGGTAGTGTTCGACTTTTTCATAAATCACAACATTTTTGAACCTCTTCTCCCTTCGGGGGAGGGCAGGATTTTTCTGCCCTACCACCCACCCATCCATCGTCTCTTACATGCACCCTACAGCCACGCACCCTCAAGGTGGCATCGAGCATACAGCTGGAGCCTTCTGCTCACCAAAACTCCTACTTCCCGGTGGCAGGAGAGCAAGAGAGGGACAGACAGATGGCAGGGCATGTCCAAAAGAAGAGCATCAGCACAAATGAATCCTCCCCTTCCCCACCTCCAGGGGTGGGGGCCTTTGGCACCTCAATCCCCGATACCCTACTCCTTCCCACCCACATCTCCTTGCACCCATCTGGAACCTCGGTTGATGTGAGCCGGCAACAGAGAAGCACCGTGGCGCGGCGAGGGAATGCAGACGGCACCCAGCGGTGGATGGCGGCAGCGGAGGCCGCGGGGAAACCTGACCAGGAAGCTGAGGACCAAACCAGCCTCTTTTTCCGTTCCCGGTTTTTTTCCTGAACCCAACGCGTGCCGTGCCCCGTTTCCCCCAATATGTGTTGGGGAGGGGTGTCCTGAATGGGGTGGTAGATTTTTTTTCTTAAAAAAATTTTTTTGTTTTTTTTAATACTCAGAGGAGAGGGACATAGGAAAGGTAAAGTGGATGTAATCGGGTGGTTGTTAGGGTTTGGGGCTAGGTGGGGCCAATTGCATAAGCAGTGGAGTGTGTTCTTCCCCTCCCTGCAGTGTTCCTTCCCGTGGGATGATCACTCTTTAGCTGTATTTGGGGCTAGAATGAGATTTGAAGGAGGCCATGGAACTTCTCTTTAGAAAGCCTGCCTTGGCTGGGCCTGGTGGCTCACCTCTAATCCCAGCACTTTGGGAGGCCAAGGTGGGAGGATTGCTTGAGCCCAGGAATTTGAGACTAGCTGGGGCAGTGTAGTGAGACTTTGTCTCTACCAGAAAAACCGGGCGTGGTGGCGCATGCCTGTAGTCCCAGCTACTTGGGAAGCTGAGGCAGGAGGGTTTGCTTGAGCCCGGGACGTGGAGGTGGCAGTAAGCTGTAATTGTGCCACTGTACTCCAGCCTGGGTGATAGAGTGAGACCCTGTATCAAAACAAAACAAAAAACAAAACCTGCCTTCTGGGATTGGGCTTCTGGTTTTTTTCCCATGACACACACATCCTTTCCTATTTTGTCCTCTGGGTCTTCATATTAACTATCTTCCCCCAGGATAGTATAAAAAGTGTTAGGAAAGTTGGGCTTTGGAGTTGTGGTAATTTCTGTCTTTGTTACTTTCCTCCCCTTCAGGGGGTTTTTTAATTTTAAAGATGAATGCAGTGAGGTATAATGGTGTGTGCCTGTAGTCCCAGCTATTCAGGAGACTGAAGCAGGAGGATCACTTGAGCCCAGGAATTTGAGGCTATAGTGTGCTATGATTGTGCCAGTGAATAGCCACTGCACTCCAGCCTGGGCAACATGGTGAGATCCTGTCCCTTAAAAGCGTATCTGCTGCTCTGAATTTGGTATTTTAACACCACTTACTGATACCTTTCCTGTAAACCTGTAGATGGTTTAATTCTTAGTCAAGAGACCAGTCTCATCTAAAACTATCCTGTTGTGGTCTGACGGCAAGTAACTCATCTTGAGTAATTTTTGTTTCTCCTTAAGTGGCATTTTGACTGTCCATTGCAGCATTCTGATCTTAAAAGACATCCACTTTGCTAATGCACACGAGATTCTCTTAGTTGAAGTAGGAGAATCAAATGGAGCAGTTGTCCTCCCCCCACCCCATGTTCTTAGAAGCACCTCTGATGGAGTTATTCTGACCTTGAGTCACTGCCTCCCATCATTTCCCAGATGTTTGGTCCTTGCTCTCCCTTTGAGAATCATCTCCCATTTTCTTTCCTCTCCCACCTCTATTTGAGGTAATGGCATCTGTGCCATTGGGTGGTTTCACTGCTCCTTGACTTCATTTGCAGTTTCTTTCCCATGATAGTTTTTAGTTGGGCAGTCTTAAAACTCATCTGATAGGAAGGAAATTAGATGTAATGTGAGAGAGACCACAGTAAAATGTGGGTATTTTTGGGAGTGGGGTGGGGTTTTCAATCTTCTCTTTCCTCCCCATCCCCCCATGGGGTGTATTGGAGATCAACTTCCTCCACCCCCCCAGGTTTAACCCCCCCACTCTGCCCTCCTCCCGTTCCCCACCCCCTTCCTCCCCCCCAGCCAATGGAGATCTTCGTGGATGATGAGACGAAGTTGACGCTGCATGGGTTGCAGCAGTACTACGTGAAACTGAAGGACAACGAGAAGAACCGGAAGCTCTTTGACCTTCTGGATGTCCTTGAGTTCAACCAGGTCAGTTAGACGTCCAGTAGGGGGATGAGCATTGGAGCACTCCAGCTGTAGCAGAAACCTGGATATTAAGTACACTTTTATTGAGGAAATCACATGTGTGATGTGGGAGAGAATAATGAGGGTATAAATATCTTAGGGGCTGAGCATGAGTAAGGTGGGAGCTGCTTTTCTATTCTATGGCTGGCACGGGTATGTCCTCAATAACCTCAAGGAAAATAAACTTCAAAAATTAAGATCCTTGGCCAGGCACGGTGGCTTATGTGTGTAATCCCAGCACTTGGGGAGGCTGAGGGAGGTGGATCACTTGAGTCCAGGAGTTTGAGACCAGTCTGGGCAACATGGCGAAACTTCATCACTACCAAAGAAGAAAAAAATTAGCCAGGTGTGGTGGTGTATGCCTGTAGTCCCAGATACTCTGGTGGCTGAGGTGAGAGGATAGCTTGAGCCCAGGAAATTGAGGCTGCAGTGAACTATGATTGCACTACTGTGCTCCAGCTTGGGCAACAGAGTGAGATCTTGTCTCCAAAAGTCCTTGAAGGATTTTAGGAAGTTGTTAAAAGTCTTGAAACGATGTTTGGGGGCATGTTAGGGTTCTTGAATGTTTAATTCCTCTAATAACTGCTTATTCAAGAGAAGCATTTCTGACTGGGTGCAGGGCAGTGGCTCATGCCCATAATCCCAGTACTTTGGGAGGCTGAGGCAGGAGCATTGCTTGAGCCCAGGACTTCAAGACCAGCCTGGGTAACATAGGGAGACGCCCGTCTCTACAAATAGTAAAAATAAAAAATAAAAAAAGTAGCTGGGCGTGGTGGTGTGCACCTGTGGTCCCAGCTGCTTGGGATGCTGAGGTGGAAGGATCTCTTAAACCCAGGAGGGTGGAGGCTGCAGTGACTTGCGATTGCACCACTGCACTCCAGTCTGGGGGACAGAGTGAGACCCCATCTCAAAAAAGTGTTTAATTAATATACTTGTGAGTGGTCTATTTGCATTTAAAACTGCTTTCTAGAATTAGGATAGCTCCCTTAGGTTTAATGTTTTGGTGAGCAGGAATATCAGTTACCCCTCCAGATCTTAATTCTAGTTTTTTATCACTTTTTCATGAGGTGATCTCATCCTCATCTCCTAGCATGTCTGGCAATTTTGATTTCTGAACTCTGTGCTACCTCAGAGGCCAGCTTCCTTAGGGAAAAATCAGTGCTGAAATAAAGTTATATTTCCTTTTCTGCTCTAAATATATAGTGGGGGAATAAGAGAAATGAAGAGGAATTCCTGAGAACGTAATTACTAGAAACTCCCCTCTCCCACGTAATGTCTCTCACACACCATGGACCCCTATTCCCCCAATTTGCGACCCCCCACCCCACCCCACAACAGGTGGTGATCTTTGTGAAGTCTGTGCAGCGGTGCATTGCCTTGGCCCAGCTACTAGTGGAGCAGAACTTCCCAGCCATTGCCATCCACCGTGGGATGCCCCAGGAGGAGAGGTGAGCTGAAGATGGGAAAGATATTTTGTGTCCTTGGGAGAAAAAGACAGTTGAGAGAAGGGAATCTCAACATGTTTTAAATTTCCTTTCTCACAAAGGCTTTCTCGGTATCAGCAGTTTAAAGATTTTCAACGACGAATTCTTGTGGCTACCAACCTATTTGGCCGAGGCATGGACATCGAGCGGGTGAACATTGCTTTTAATTATGACATGCCTGAGGATTCTGACACCTACCTGCATCGGGTAAACCTCACAGGCTGAAAAAATCCCACTCTCCCATTCCCTTGTTTTCTGTTTGTACATCTTCATTCCTGCCTCTGGGTCTCTTTCCTCTTCGGTCTTCCAGTGCTACCCTCTGTCTCCCTCCAGGTGGCCAGAGCAGGCCGGTTTGGCACCAAGGGCTTGGCTATCACATTTGTGTCCGATGAGAATGATGCCAAGATCCTCAATGATGTGCAGGATCGCTTTGAGGTCAATATTAGTGAGCTGCCTGATGAGATAGACATCTCCTCCTACAGTGAGTACTGATCTCATGAAACCCTTTAGGTCCTCCCTGTTCCTTAGTGTGTTTGTCCTAAATCCCATCACATAGGTCATGGGCATCTGATGCATAATGGACACTTGACTGGTTCATGCCCCCTGGTCTTTGATGCTGTGTTGGGATGTTTTTCTGACCTTTATGTGGGGTTTCTGTCTTCTCTCATCATATTACATCCCTTCCCTCACCCCCACGTCCGTCCTCTGAACCCAGGCAGTACACCAGTGTCTGCATGTGTGCCGTGTGTTCCTGCCTCACTTTCCCCTTTTCATGCCTTATTCTGACCATGCTACGTTTTCTTCTCAGTTGAACAGACACGGTAGAAGACTCGCCCATTTTGGAATGTGACCGTCTGTCCTTCAGGAGAGGACACCAGGGTGGGGGTGAAGGAGACACTACTGCCCCCACCCCTGACAGCCCCCACCCCATGGCTTCCATCTTTTGCATCACCACCACTCCTGAACCCCCATTTCTGATTTGTCAGAATTTTTTTTTAACAAAACTAAAAATGAAACACATGTGTCTGTGGTATCTATAAGTGCTTCGTCCCTTTATTGTATTTGGGGTGAGGTTATTTTAGGGCATGGTCCAGGGTGAATTCCTATAAGGCCTGGGTGCCCTGCCTGCTGTGAGATCAAAGGGGAATGGGACTAAGACTGCAGAGCCCTGGCTCCCCCACTGCCTGCCAATTGCCTGCGGTTTGTGGTCTCTTCCACTTTCTCTGGCCTGGGAAGACGCTGGGGTGTTTATGATCCCAAGGCTCCTGGTGGGTGGTGCGTGTATTTTCAGTGCCGGAGGGTGCTGTGGGCACTGGGGGAAACTTAGGCACCTCCTCCAAGGCTCTCTTGGTGCCTCCTCATCTGTTCCTTCAGCTTCTGGATCTTGAGCACCAGGGCTTGGGCCTCCCAGGCTCCCTCCTGCCCTTCAAGGAGGGCCTGGTACAGCTCCAGCTGCTGCTCCAACAACTCTTCAGCTCGGGCCAGCTCAGCTGTGCGGTGGGTCCCAGGGCCCTGGTCAGGGAATTAAGGGAGGGAGCATCAGCCAGGGCAGGGGGCCGAGGCCCTGGGAAGCTTTGTCGCAGGCTGTGGCTGGAAGTGAGAAATTCCACCTTCCCTATTCGTTTTTGAACCGGTCATTTAAGGACACCTGTACTGAGAAGGCCAGGTAGCTTCCTGTCTTGGGCATAGGCCTCTGGGTGGTAGTAGGGGGAGCAAATAGAGTTCCCTGGCCCAGGGGCTGTAACTGGCTTCCTTGAACAAGGATATGGGGTCACTGGAAAGAGGATCAGCCGCTCCTCCCCGCTAAGAAATAATTAACTGTTAGGTGAGGGGGAATAGATCCTGTTCAAGGACTTTGTGGACTGTGCTGTTGTGGGTGGGGGTGGGGTGAGGGAAGGGAACCCTGAGGTCTGGGCTGGGGGAGGTGGGGAGAGGAGTTGGTAGCTGAACTAAGAAAAGAGCTGCAGGGGTAGGCATGGTGTGGGGTGGTGCAGGGTGGGATTGAGGGTTTTTTTTTCCCACACCCCAGTGTAAATTCTCACACCCTCTGTTCCTACCTGTGGTGCCACTTACCCTGGGAGGGGACGTCATCTTCCCATTTCCTCTGGAGTTGGTCTGCTCTTCCATGCTTGCTTTGGGGTTTTGGGAGCAGCACCCATGGGAGCCCTGGGGTGCCAAGGACCAGGAGGGCAGAAGGAGGCGAAGGAAATGGTACCGAGAGAGCCAGGGCAGAGGGAGGACCATGGCGGGTGACCTGGCCGGGAGCTGTGTGAGCTGTCCAACGGCCACCAGGAACTGGTTCGCTCCAGGACTTGGCCTCACTTGAGTGCCTGGCCCTGCCCAGGCCCCAGCCCCCAGCCCTGCCCCTGCCCCTGCCCCACTCTGCCCCACGTCTCTCCCAGCCTGGCCCCAGACAGAGTCCAGGAACAACTCCTGTTCCTGATGTGAAAAATGTCCCTGCCAGTTTAGGCAGAACTTGCTTTAGAGCACTGGTGCCCAGCCTACCACAGGTCTGTGATTTTTTTTTTTTGATCTAGTGTTTATTAGGTATGAATTTTACAAACATTAGCGGTAGCTGTGGAGCTGGAGAGTATTGCACCTTCTCCAAGCTGCATGGCGAGAACCACCAATAGTGTGGTAAAACTTACAGCCCTTTCCAAGGCCGTGGCTCTCTTGGCCTGCAGATAGCCTACGCATCTCCCTATGCTTGTTGTGGACCACTGGGTGTCAGGTTTCCTTCTGATAGTGTTATGGAATGGATCAACTAGGATAGCCTCAAAAACTTTGTATGTGGAATCTTTAACCAGCCCAGTGAGAATTCAGGACTCAGAGCCCCACAGTGGCATCCAGCTTGCTCTTCTGTAACAGACTGAAGGCTTTAAGCAAACTAGCTGGTTAACACCATGATAGACAGGCTTGCTGTTAAGTTGCCTTCTTAGGAACTAGATTTTCAGCCACCGTGGCGCTTATATGTAACATAACCTTGCTTGGCTGTAGCCCAGTAGCGTGCTTTATTGGGCTGGGTGGGGCGGGGATCCCTGTGGAGAGCAGAGAGCTGGTGGTACTGCCAGCAGCGGACCCTCAGAAGAAAGCTCATGACATCAGACTGCTTCTTCCATAGCTTCTGGATGTACTTGTATGCACCATCTTGGTTTACCCAGTGGCTGCTGCCAGACAGAAAGGAAAGGCTACCACAGGTCTTGTGTCTTTTTTTTTTTTTTTTTTTGAGACGGAGTCTCGCTCTGTTGCCCAGGCTGGAGTGCAGTGGCGCAATCTGGGCTCACTGCAAGCTCTGCCTCCCGGGTTCACGCCATTCTCCTGCCTCACCCTCCCGAGTAGCTGGGACTACAGGTGCTCGCCACTACGCCCGGCTAATTTTTTGTATTTTTAGTGGAGACGGGGTTTCACCGTATTAGCCAGGGTGGTCTCGATCTCCTGACCTCGTGATCCGCCCGTCTTGGCCTCCCAAAGTGCTGGGATTACAGGCGTGAGCCACCGCACCCGGCATGCCTTTTTCTTAACACTGTTTTCTCACTTCACTCTGCAAGGTAGGAATTACCTCACTGGTTTGCACCTGAGGAAACTGGCTCAGATGGTTTCATTCAGCATTCACTGGGGAAGTGTCTGTTGGGGGCAGCTCTAGGCTGGATGTGCTCGAAGGTCCACAGCTGGTTGTTGGTAGGGCCTGGAGGGTTCATGTCTAGGTCCACCTGACTTGAAAGCTCATCCTGACCTTGCTTAAGTGCTGATTCCCCTTTGCAGATGTACCTTTTATTGTGCTTCCCTTTATTGCTCTTTGCAGATGCTGTTTTTTATTTAGAGATTGGAGGCTTGTGGCAACCCTGTGTCAAGCACATCAAACAGGTCTATTGGTGCTATTTTCCCAACAGCAGGCAGACATCATGTCTCCATGTCACGCTGTGGAATTCTCAAAATGTTTCAAGCGTTTTCATTATTATACTTGTTACAGTGACCTGTAATCAGTTACTGAAGTTAACTATTGTGATTGTTTTGGGACACCATGAGCGATGCTCATATAAGACAGCAAACTTAATGGAAAAATGTGTGTGTTGTGACTGCTTCACCAACTGGCCATTCTCCCGACTCTGCTTTCCAGGCCTCCCTATTCCCTGAGGCACAACAATATTGAAAGGAATAATCCATGCGGCAAATGGCAAACATCATTGTCTTATTTTAAGAAGTTGTCAAAGCAGCCTTCAGCAGCCATGCCCCTGATCCATGGAGGCAAGACCCTCCCCCAGCAAAAAGATCAGGATTAGCTGAAGCCTCATATGATTGTTAGCATTTGTTTAGCAATTAAGTATTTTAAAATTAAAGTATATGGCCAGATACAGTGGCTCACGCCTGTAATCCCAGCACTTTGGGAGGCCGAGGTGGGTGGATCACTTGAGGTCAGGAGTTCAAGATTAGCCTGGCCAACATGGTGAAACCTCATCTCTACTAAAAATACAAAAATTAGCTGGGCATGGTGATGGGCACCTGTAGTCCCAGCTACTTGGGAGGCTGAGCAGGAGAATGGCTTGAACTCAGGAGGCGGAGGTTGCAGTGAGCCAAAATCGTGGCACTGCACTCCAGCCTGGGTGACAGAGCGAGACTCCATTAAGTATATACACAGTTTTTTGTACACAATGCTACTGTACACTTAACAGACTACAATATAGTACAAACATAACTTTTATGCACAATAGGAAACTAAAAAGTTTGTGTGACTCACTTTGTTGCTATGGTCTGGAAACAAATCTTCAGTATCTCCGAGGTATGCCTGTCATTTCCCTTTCCCTCTTCTTGCTGGCCCAGAATGACCTTGTTTCTCGCCCCTGTCTAGCCCTGCATGCTGTAGGGGTTTGCCTTCTCTGGTAGGTCTGGGCACTTTGTATCCCTTGTAACCTTGGCTCCTGGGATATGACACTGGTACAACTGGCCTCAAGTTCTGTTGGACTAGTGAGCCTCCCCCAACACCTCCTGAAGTAGAACCAAAGGCCTGTGCACACACCGTGCATGTGTGAGTCTGCATAGAGATGTCAGCTTCCTGCAGGGTGTTCTGAAGGGATGTCCTGTTGTGACTGGACTGTGACATAGCCACAGGCCCAGAGGCAGGAGTGGCTCAGAAGGGAGTGGCTGGTCCCAATTTTGATCATCTAGGAACAGGAAGGTCCTTAGAAAACCATGCCCCAGAAGGCAGGATTGCTGGAGAGTGGACAGCTGCTAGCCAGCTCGCTATCTGGATATCACTCTGCATTGGGAGGGAAGATGGCCTCTGCCATGGTGTAAGAGTCCAGGAACCAGGCAGTGAGGACTTCCCAGCGGTCAGTGCTTCTCACACTTGCGGGCCAAAGCACCTTTAGATGAGGCCAAAGACTTTACGTTCCTCATTAGCTGACTTTTTCCCACTTAAGTGGAAAAAGAACCCAGAACCTTTGTAAAAGTTTTAGGGGAGAAGGGCTTTCCCTCTTGTATCTTGGTGATAAGGTTATGCATGACTCATACTTTAATTGCAATGTGTACACAGCTAAAGTCTTAATTATTAGAATATAAGAGCCCCAAACTACTGTTATTATAGATAAGCGAAACTATGCAGTATATGGTTAAACAATCCACAACTAATTAACATTGAAAGTTGGCCGGGCGCAGTGGCTCATGCTTGTAATCCCGGCACTTTGGGAGGCCGAGGCGGGGGGATCACTTAAGGTCAGGAGTTCAAGACTAGCCTGGCGAACATGATGAAACCCCGTCTCTACTAAAAATACAAAAAATTAGCTAAGCGTGGTGGTAGCCACCTGTAATCCCAGCTACTTGTGAGGCTGAGGCAGGAGAATTGCTTGAACCTGGGAGGCGGAGGTTGCAGTGAGCTGAGATTGTGCCACTGCACTCCAGCCTGGGCGACAGAGCAAGACTCCGTCTCTCAAAAAAAAAAAAAAAAAAAAAAGAAAAGAAAAAAAATTAACTACATTTTTGGGAGGTGGACAGAGCAATGCTCTGTCACCCAGGCTGGAGTGCAATGGCACAATCTCTGCTTGCTGGAACCTCCGCTTGCCGGGTTCAAGCAATTCTTATGCCTCTGCCTCCCAAGAAGCTGGGATTACAGACGTGTGCCACTATGCCGAGCTAATTTTTGTATTTTTAGTACAGACAGGGTTTCACCATGTTGGCCAGGCTGGTCTTGAACACCTGGCCTCAAGTGATCCGACTGCCTCAGCCTCCCAGAGTGCTGGGATTACAGGTGTGAACCACCGTGCCTGGCCCTCTATCTGTTAATTTAAAAGATTAGCAGCCATTTAGAAAAAACAACAAATGAGACTTTTGCAAGACAATCTAAATGATACACTAATAACAATCCTTTGGGAAAGTGACATTTCAACCATGTGAGTTTCTGCTTTAGGTTATGAACTCCAAAATGGACTAAATGGACTAACCCCCAATAATTTATAGTAGCTAGTTTTTTTTTTTTTTCACAGTAGGTAATTCTAAACCATAAATAAAATAGAATCTGAATTTTGGCTTTGTTCACCTGTGGGAACTTAATTAAGAAAGCACTGGCCTTTGGGTCGGTTCAAATATAGTGGATGAGGCCAGGCGCAGTGGCTCACACCTGTAATCTCAGCACTTTGGGAGGCCGAGGCGGGCGGATCATGAGGTCAAGAGATCGAGACCATCCTGGCCAACATGGTGAAACCCCGTCTCTACTAAAAATACAAAAATTAGCCGGGCATGGTGGTGCACGCCTGTAGTCCCAGCCACTCGGGAGGCTGAGGCAGGAGAATCACTTGAACCCGGGAGCCAGAGGTTACAGTGAGCTGAGATCATGCCACTGCACTCCAGCCTGGCGACAGAGCGAGACTCTTGTCTCAAAAAACAAAAAACAAAACCAAAAAGAAAGAAAACCAAATATAGTGGATAATCGTGGATCTCATAATTGTAGAAATGAAGGAATTAAGCTAAAAAAATACATAAACCAGAATACCTAGTGCAAAAGTGGAATGTCCCCACCAAAACTCATGTTGACATTTAATTGCTATCCTAATGGTATTAAGATGCAAGACTTTTTTTTTTTCTTTTTTTGAGATGGAGTTTCGCTCTTGTTGCCCAGGCTGGAGTGCAATGGCACAATCTCAGCTCACTGCAACCTCCGCCTCCCATGTTCAAGTGATTCTCCTGTCTCAGCCTCCTGAGTAGCTGGAATTACAGGCACATGCCACCACGCCCAGCTAATTTTTGTATTTTTAGTAGAGACGGGGTTTCATCATATTGGTCAGGCTGGTCTTGAACTCCTGACCTCAGGTGATCCACCTGCCTTGGCCTCCCAAAGTGCTGGGATTACAGGCATGAGCCACCGTGCCCAGCCGATGTGGGACCTTTCAGGGTTGATTAGATTGAATAGATTAATGCCATTGTATGGCATGATAGAAATCAGTTCAGCCTCTTTGCCCTTCCACCTCTCACTATGGGATGATACTGCAGCCAGGCCCTCATAAGATGCCAGTGTCATGCTCTTGGACTTCTCAGCCTCCAGCTCTGTGGGAAAAACATTTATTGTCTTTATAAATTACCCAGTCTGTGCTGGGTGTGGTGGCTCAAGCCTGTAATCCCAGCACTTTGGGAGGCCAAGGTGGGTGGAAGGCTTGAGCCCAGGAGTTTGAGACCAGCCTGGGCAACATGGCAAAACCCATCTCTACAAAAAAACACAAAAATTAGCTGGTGTGGTCGTGCGGGTCTGTGGTCCCAGTTATTTAGGAGGCTGAGGTGGGAGGATCACTTGAGTCTGGGAGGTGGAGGTTGCAGTGAGTTGAGATCATGCCACTGCACTCCAGTCTGAGCGACAGAGAGAGACCCTGTCTGAAAAAACAACAAAATAAATTACCCAGTCTGTAGTATTCTGTTATAGCGGCAGGAAACGGACTAAGACACATAGATTATGTTACTGTGTTTATTTATTTATTGTTGTTTTTGTTATTCCTGACTCTTAATATAGAGTCTTAATCAGATGAGCATTCTGGCCTGGTCTCCGCAGAAGGGGCCTGTCTTTAGCCACGGACAAGAGGAGATTAAGGCCAGCATCATCCACAAGGTCAAGGGGCTGCAGAGCCCCCTAAGGCCAGTGTGCTGATGGGCCCCTCAATATTGTATCCTACCCAGTGGATTGGCAGGACTGGGTGACTGACAGGAATCATTGTTGCCTCTATGGGAAAGTCTTATGGAGATGGGGGCTGAGGGATGTTGAAGTTTAGCCATTACATTACAGTGAGAGAGATTACATTACTAAGTGTCAGAGACCCTGCTGGGCACTTTCTGTTACTGTCACAGGTGGCTTTCACAGTAACCTTTTAAGAGAGCTCTTTTCATTTTTCTTGTACATAGCTGTCCAGTTGTTCCAGCAGCATTTGCTGAAAAGACTATCTTTATTGTATTGTCTTTGCTCCTTGTATTTATGTGGGACTATTTCTTGGCTCTCTATTCTGCTCAAGTGGATCAATTTGTCTATTCTTTGCCAATGCCACTCTGTCTTTCTAAAATTAATTTTTTGATTGACTAATTTTATACATTTGTGGTGTACATCATGTTTATATATATATGCACATACATACACACACATTGTGGAATGGATAAACCAAACAATTTAATAATATGTACATTACCTCACATACATATTTTGTGTGTATGTGATGAGAATGCTTAAAGCTATTCTCATACTATTTTGAAATACACAATATGTTGTTATTAAGTTTAGTCACCATAAGGTACAATAGATCTCTTGAACTTATTCTTCCTAACTGAAATCTTGTGTTCTTTGACTAACATCTCCCCAATTCCCCGACCTCCCAGCCTCTGATAACCACCAGTTTACTCTCTATTTATGAGTCTGGCTTTTTCTATACTCCACATATAAGTGAGATTGTATTTGTCTTTCTGTGCCTGGCTTATTTCACTTAACATAATGTCTTCCAGGTTCATCCATGTTGTCACAAATGACAGGATTTTGTTTTTTAAGGCTGAATAGTATTCCATTTTTTATATATACCACATTTTCTTTATCCATTCATCCATTGATGGACACTTAGGTGGATTCTATATCTTGGCTATTGAGAATAATGCTGCAGCCAGGTGCAGTGTCTCGTGCTTATAATCCCAGATAATTGGGAAGCTGAGACAGCAGGATCGCTTGAGGCCAGGAGTTGCCCTGGGCAACATAGACTCTATCTCTAAAGGAAAAAAAAAAAAAAAGAATAATGATGCAATGAATATGGGAGTGCAAATATCTCAACGTACTGATTTCGTATCCTTTGGATATATACCCATTAGTGGGATTGCTGGATCATGTGGTATTTCTATTTTTAAAATTTTTGCAGAACCTCCATACTGTTTCCCACAATGGCTATGCTAATCACCACTCTGTCTTGATTACTATGGCTTTATAGAAAGTCTAAGTCAGGTAGTGGTGGTCTTTGACTTTATTTTTCTCCTATATTGTGCTGGCTAGGTCTTTTGCCTCACCATATAAAGTTTGAATCAGTTTGTTAATATCCACAAAATAACTTACTGAGGTTTTTTATTGAGATTGCATTCATTCCACAGATCAAGTTGGAAAGAACAGATATATTAACAGTATTGAGCCTTCCTGACTATGAACATGGAATATCTCTCCATTTGTTTAGTTCTTTGATTTCTTTTGTCAGTTTTGTAGTTTTGTTCATATAGATCTTGTACATATTTTCTTAGATTTGTACCTAAGTGTTTCATTTTTGGGGGTGCTAATGTAAGTGGTATTGTGTTTTAAATGGCAAATTCTGGACCAGGCACGGTGGCTCACGCCTGTAATCCCAGCACTTTGGGAGGCTGAGGCAGGCAGAACATGAGGTCAGAAGTTCGAGATCAGCCTGGCCAACATGGTAAAACCCCGTCTCTACTAAAAACACAAAAATTAGCTGGGCATGGTGGGGCACACCTGTAATCCCAGCTACTCAGGAGGCTGAGGCAGGAGAATTGCTTGAACCTGGGAGGAGGAGGTTGCAGTGAGTTGAGATCGCGCCACTGCACTCTAGCCTGGGCGACAGAACAAGACTCCGTCTTGAAAAAAAAAAATTAAATGGCGAATTCTACATGCTCATTGCTGATACATAGAAAAATGATTGGCTTTTACATATTAACTTTATATCCTGCAACCTTGCTATAATTGCTTGTTAGTTCCAGGAGTTTTTTATGTGTGGATTCTTTTTGATTTTCTACATAGACAATCATATCATCTGTAAACAAAGACAGTTTTATTTCTTGTTCCAAATTTGTATACCTTTTAGTTCCTTTTCTTGTCTTACTACTTTAGCTAGGACTTCCAGTACAACGTTGAAAAGCTGTGTTGAGAGGGTCATTCCTGCCTTGTTCTGATCTTAGCAGGCAAGCTTTTAGTTTCTCACCATTAAGTGTGATGTTAGCTGTGGATGTTTTGTGGATGTTGTTTATCAAGTTGAGTAAGGTCTTCTCTATTCCTAGCTTGCTAAGAGATTTTTTTTTTTTAATCATCATGAATGGGTGTTGGATGTTGTCAATTGCTTTTTCTGCCTCTATTGATATGATCATGTGATTTTCTTCTTTAGCCAGTTGATTTAATGGATTACATTAACTGATTTTCCAATGTTGAAGTAACTTTGCATACCTGGGATAAATCTTACTTAGGCATGGTGTATTGTTCTTCTCATACATTGTGGATTTGATTTGCTAGCATTTTGCTGAGGATTTTTGCACCTATGTTCATGAGAGATATTGGTCTGTGGTTTTCTTTTTTTGTGAAGTCTTCATCTGATTTTGGTATTTGGCTAATGCTGGCCTCATGGAATTAGTTAGAAAGTATTCCCTCATGGAATCCTGGCCTCATGAAATGAGATAGAAAGTGTCTGTCTTGGCTTTGCAGACGCCACCATCAGGAGCCCCATACTATCAGCCATGGTCAACCCCACCGTGTCCTTCAACATCGCTGTCAATGGTGAGCCCTTGGGCTGTGTCTCCTTCAAGCTGTTTGCAGACAAGTTTCCAAAGACAGCAGAAAACTTTCGTGCTCTGAGCACTGGAGAGAAAGGATTTGATTATAAATGTTCCTCCTTTCACAGAATTATTCCAGGGTTTATGTGTCAGGGTGGTGACTTCACACGCCATAATGGCACTGGTGGCAAGTCCATCTACGGGGAGAAATTTGATGATGAGAACTTCATCCTAAAGCATACAGGTCCTGGCATCTTGTCCATGGCAAATGCTGGACCCAACACAAATGATTCCCGGTTTTTCTTTTTTCTCTTTTTTTTGAGATGGAGTCTTAACTCTGTCGCCCAGGCTGGAGTGCAGTGGCGCGATCTTGGCTCACTGCAACTTCCGCCTCCCAGGTTCAAGCAATTCTCCTGCCTCAGCCTCCTGAGTAGCTGGGATTACAGGCATGCACCACCATGCCTGGCTAATATTTGTATTTTTATTAGAGACGGGGTTTCACCATGTTGGTCAGGCTGGTCTTGAACTCCTGACCTCAGGTGATCTGCCCATCTCGGCCTCCCAAAGTGCTGGGATTACGGCATGAGCCACCTAGCCCGGGCAATTCCCAGTTTTTCATCTGCACTGCCAAGACTGAGTGGTTGGATGGCAAGCCCATGGTCTTTGGCAAGGTGAAAGATGGCATGAATATTGTGGAGGCCATGGAGCACTTTGGGTCTGGGAATGGCAAGACCATCAAGAAGATCACCATCGCTGACTGTACACAACTTGACTAAGTTTGACTTGTGTTTTTTTTTGAGACTAAGTTTCGCTCTTGTTGCCAGGCTGGAGTGCAATGGCGCCATCTCGGCTCACTGCAACCTCTGCTTCCTGAGTTCAGGCGATTCTCCTGCCTCAGCCTCCCGAGTAGCTGGGATTACAGGCATGCGCCACCACACTTGGCTAATTCTGTATTTTTAGTAGAGACGGGGTTTCTCCGTGTTGGTCAGGCTGGTCTTGAACTCCTGACCTCAGGTGATCCCACCTGCGTCAGCCTCCCAAAGTGCTGGAATTACAGGTGTGAGCCACCGCGCCCGGCCTGACTTGTGTTTTATCTTAACCACTAGACCATTGCTTCTGTAGCTCAGGAGAGCACCCTCCATCCATCTGCTCGCAGTATCTAGAATCTTTGTGCTCTCACTGCAGTTCCCTTTGGGTTTCATGTTTTCCTTGTTCCCTTCCATGCCTAGCTGGATTGCAGCATTAAGTTTATGATTATGAAATTAACACTGAATAACAACAACAACAAAAGAAAGTATGTCTTCTGGAAGAGATTATAGAAAATTGGTATAATTTTTTCCTTAAATGTTTGATAGAATTTATCAGTAAACCCATTTGGGGCTGATGTTTTCTGTTTCTGAATGTTATTAATTATCGATTTAATTTAATATATGTCTATTCATTTCATTTTTTAAATTAATTTTTTTTATAAGACAAGGTCTCACTATGTTGCCCAGGCTTCTCTCAAACTCCTGGGCTTAAATTGGCCTCCCAAAGGGCTGGGATTACAGGCATGAGCTACTGTACCTAGCTTCATTTCACTTTTAGTTAAATTTGTTTTGAATAATAATAGATTTAACTTTGGGAGGCCGAGGCGGACAGATCACCTGAGGTCGGGAGTTCGAGACCACCCTGGCCAACATGGCGAAACCCCATCTCTACTAAAAATACAAAAACTAGCCGAGCATGGTGATGGGTGCCTGGAATCCCAGCTACTGGGGAGGCTGAGGCAGGGCAATTGCTTGAACCCAGGAGGTGGAGGTTGCAGTGAGCTGAGATCGCGCCATTGCACTCCAGCCTGGGCGACAGAGCGAGACTCCATCTCAAAAAAAAACAAAAACAAAACAAACAAAAAAACCCAATAACAATAACAATAATAGATTTAAAGAGTTGCAAAGCTAGAACACAGAGTTTCCATAAACCCCAGCTTTCCTTAATGTTAACATCTAACAAAATTCTGTCAAGACTAAGAAACTAAGAAATTAACATTGCTATAATACTATTCGCTAAACTGTAGACTTTATTTGGACTTCACCAGTTTTTCCAGGGCCCATTAATGCATTTAGCTTTTGGGTCTCCCTAGTCTTTCTGATCATGAGTTTCTCAGTCTTTACCTGTTTTCATGACCTTGAAAGTTTTGAAGAATACTGGATAGATAATTTGTAGGATGTCCCTCACTTTGGGTTTGCCTGATGCTTCCTTATGATTAGATTGGGGTTATGGGTTTAAGGGAAGAATACCATAGAGGGGAGTGTCCTCATCACATCATTTCTGGGGGGCAAGATGTTAACATGACTCTGATTGCTTGGTAGTGTCTGCTACATTTCTCCACTGTAAAGTTATTATTTTTCCTTTTTCATACTCTAGTCTTTGGAAGCAAGTCAGCAAGTCCAGCCCATATTCAAGGTGAGAGAAATAAAATTCCAATCTCCTGGGAAAGAGATTCTCGTAATATATGTTTTGAAATTCTTCTGTAAGGAAGATTTGCCCCTTCTTCCCTATTTATTTATTTAATTATTTTTGATTAAATAAATCAGTGTGGAATGAATATTTATTTATATTTTGGGTCATAATCCAATACTATTGTAACTTTGTTGCTCGGATTATTCCGGCTTTGTCCATAGGGAGCTCTTTCAGGCTGACTCCTGTGTCCCTCTGACATGCCCTTATTTTTTGGTGGTGAGGGTTGGGAGATGGGTGGCGGTTACTTTCTGGCATTACAAGATGTTCCAGGCTCACCTTATATTTTTCCTATGCCAGCCCTAGAATCAGCTGTTTTTCTATGGAGCCCTGAATCCTTTTATCAGAGAATGACTTAGCACAACCAAGGTCTAGGCACTGGGTGCTCACTTCACTCTTCTAAGGAGGACACAGAGGTCTCAAGACCTGTGGGAACTCACACAGGCACATAAATGGCTCTCACTTCAGCACCACTTTAGAGCTGATTCAGCTGGGCATGGTGGCTCATGCCTGTAATCCCAGAACTTTGGCAGGCTGAGGCAGGCGGATCACCTGAGGTCAGGAGTTTGAGACCAGCCTGGCCAACATGGCGAAACCTCGTCTCTGCTGAAAAATACAAAAATTAGCTGGGCATGGTGGCGCATGCCTGTAATCCCAGCTACTTGGGAGCCTGAGACAGGAGAATTGCTTGAGTCGGGGAGGCAGAGGTTGCAGTGAGCTGAGATCATGCCACTGCACTCCAGCCTGGGCGACAGAGCAAGACTCCGTCTCAAAAAAAGAAAAAAAAAAAAAAAAGAGAAAGAAAAAAAGAGCTGATTCAGCTCAGACTTTGACTTCCCCGAGTTGATGAGCAATTTTCCATGCAGGTCTTTATTTCTTAAAGCTTCTGTTTTTCAGTATGCAGGGCTTAGGCACTAGTAATTTTATTCCCTAATATTTGGAGACTTTCCTAAAATAAACATTTTACATTTTGGTAACATGATTCACTTAGAGAATTGACCAGAATAGACAAGAGGAAGAAGCCGGTGGAGGGAGGAGGCACATTGTTCTTTCCTGTGGAGTATTTCCCAATTCCTGCTGCTCTTTCCACATCCCTGGGCCTGGGAGAAGGATGGCACCCTTGGACCATGACAGAAAAATGGTGATTTGGAAATACCTGCCTCTTCTGTCTCCCTACCCTTCCATTTCAGTGCCCATTCTCCCTCCCAACCCATGGCCCATGAGCTTTTCCTTCTCCTAGCCTCTCACCTAGTGCTGGCTCCTCAGAGGGAAGTGAACCATCACCCCCTGGAGGGTGGAACTGGGGAGAGAGAGGCCAGAGCCTGGGGCTGGGGCAGAAGCTGCAGCAGGAAGGAAGGAGGTTAGAGAGACAGATGAGGGGTGAGATGTGAGTGCTCAGAGGGAGAATGAGGACATCCCCAGCATCTCCATAGAGGAGGGAGGAAGGGGCCTTGGGTGCTGGGGCAGAGAGGGGGGCAGGATCTGGATGGGACGCCCCACCCTCAGCCTCTGGTCCTCTGACAACACCTCACCTAGTCACACTGAGGGGCTTCTCCAGGCCCAGGAGCACCTGCAGGCAGGTGTATCTCAGGCCTTCTCTGGGAGGGCCCCCCACAGCTGCCCAGCCCTGATATGTCTCATCTTCCTGGGTCTGGTCCCCTTGAGTCTTGAGTCCAGAGTTGGCTCCTCCCCTTCCTGCAGCCAGGTCAGAGTGATGTTGGCAAGTGAGAAGCCAGGTGCTCTACATGGCAAGGTGTGGTTGCCCTCAGGGTCCTCCTTGTCAGGGACCACAACTTTGGGGAAGTCGGGGAGGCACCGGATGCAGGAGATAGAGAACAGAGAGGTGGAGTGAGAGTGGGACACACTTCAGCCTCCCCTCCTCTCCTAGTCTTCCTCCACATGCCAGTGCCTTTCCCTCCCCAACTCCAGCACTTCTAACAGCCACAGCAGGAAGGGGAGACCCAAATCCCCATCACTCTCTGCCACAGTCTCTGTGAGTGTGGCCACCTCCATTTCCACTGCAGCTTTAGGGTCTGCCCCAGAGCAGAGTCCTGGGTATGCTTAGAGTGGGATACTGGAAGGTTCTTCCTTCAAATATCTGCATGGCTGTTTCTCTCCTTCTCAAGTCTGCTCACATGGCTCCTCCAAGAGGCCTACCCTGACCACCTGCCTCGGCCTCCCAAAGTGCTGGGATTACAGGCGTGAGCCACCACGCCCGGCCATTGTCCTGGCTCAATCTGATCAGGAATTCTTTTTTACTTTTTTCTTTTTGATTTTTTAGGTTCAAGGGATACATATTCAGGTTTGTTACATGGGTAAATTGTGTATCACGGGTGTTTGGTGTGCAGATAATTTTGTTACTCAGGTAATCAGCACAATACCCAATAGGTAGTTTTTTAATCCTCCCCCTCCTCCCACCCTCCACCCTCAAGGAGGCCCCAGTGTCTATTGTTCCCTTCTTTGTGTCCATGTGTACTCAATGTTTAGCTGCCACTTATAGGTGAGAATATGTGGTATTTGGCTTTCTGTTCCTACATTAATTTGCTTAGAATAATGGTCTCCACCTCCATCCATGTTGCTGTGAAGGACATGATTTCGTTCTTGTTTTTTTGGCTGGGTAGCGTACCATGGTGTATAAGTGCTGCAGTTTTCTTTTCTTTTCTTTTCTTTTTTTTTTGAGACGGAGTCTCATTCTGTCACCCAGGCTGGAGTGCAGTGGCGTGATCTCGGCTCACTGCAAACTCCACCTCCTGGGTTCATGCCATTCTCCTGCCTCAGCCTCCCGAGTAGCTGGGACTACAGGCGCCTGCCACCACGCCCGGCTAATTTTTTGTATTTTTAGTAGAGACGGGGTTTCACTGTGTTAGCCAGGATGGTCTCGAACTCCTGACTTCGTGATCTGCCCGCCTCACCCTCCCAAAGTGCTGGGATTACAGGCGTGAGCCACCGCGCCTGGCCCTGTGCCGCAGTTTTCTTTATCCATTCCACTGTTGATGGGCATCTGGGTTGATTCCTTACCTTTGCTATTGTGAATAGTGCTGCACTGATCACAAATTCTTAAAAGTGGAGATAACTGAAGAAATGTAGGTCAGGTGTAGTGTTAGATTTCATCTACAGTGATTTCTACATCTAGTGAAATATGATTGTCTCTTTTTAAATTATTGAATTAAGTGTTAAAATGCATTAAAAGATTTAAAGTTTAAATATTCTTTTATTCTTGGGATTCATAACTTGGTCAAGATATTTAATTTGTTTATAGCACACTGATGGACACAGTCTACTATTTTTCTCATCTATTTTACATCTAATTACTAATAGTGATTTTCCTATCTTGTTTCTTTATTATTTGTTCCCTAACTGGCTTTAGAATTAACACTATTCATAGCTGATAAAGTGAGTTGCCTAGCTTTCTGTATTTTGCTCCATTCTCTTGAATATTTTAAATAAGTCCAATAACCTTCTTTGAAGGTTTAGTAGGACTTCCCTGTGAAACAATCTGTATATAGTTGGGCAGAGATAGAATTTTTACAACTGTTTTAACTTCTTACTTGCAGTAAGTCTTTTCCATCGACATTTTTTTTTTATAATTTCAAGATTGTTTACATCTCTACTATAGCTGCAGTGGCATATTTATCTGTCATAACACTGTCTTGCTCTTAATTAACATTGTCTGTTTTTTTTCTCTGTTCAAAGAAACAGCTGCTTTTGGCAGGCTGGGTCCTCAGCAGTGGCAGCTGCCAGGTCAGCCTTGGTGAGTGGTGACTCAATTGCTCTGTCCATGCAGTGTCCATCCCAGCCACCACGGCCACTTTGTGCAGGGACTCATGAGCAAGCCTTGTGCGGCTGAGTGGCATCATCCATCAAGCCATCTCGCTCACCTGGTTACAGGGAGCCCCAGCCCCTTGGAGACCCTCTGGCAGGCATCCATATGCAACCTCTATCTTCACATGCTCTTCCCATGGAAAGTGGTCAGTGCACACTTCTCTCTTCCATCCCCCAATTTTACAACTTTATTTTCCCCAAGTTCCAGACTGGCCAGGCAACCCATGAGTCACTGCCCTTGATTCATTCATTCATGCACTACTGGGGCATAATTTCTACCCTCTACCTCCTGTGGTCTTGTTTGGGTTTTGATTCCTAGTTCCTGGCTCGACAGCCCTTTCCAAAGCTGTTCTGGTGTCAGCTCCCAAGCCTACTGCTCTTGTAGATTCTCCTTTTTATATCTGAGTCATGGGCATTTATTTCCTGGAATTAAAAAAAAATTCACTGGTATTTTCAATGCAGCATTTCTAAGGACTTGGAGTAGGAGAAATTCTATATTAGCTTAGAGAGAATTGTTTCAAAACACCAGAAATGTAAACTTGAATGAAGGACAACATGCATGTAGAAAGGTGGACAAATCACAGGTGGGCAGTGGGTTTTGCCCAAGTAAAAACTCAGATAAACAACACCTTCATCAAGCAACATCATTTTCACCCTCCAAGAAACACCGTTGAGTCATAAACCAGCCTCCCCCACCCTAGAGTAGCCACTGTCTTGATTTTTAACACTGTAGATGAGTTCTGTTGGTTCTGATTGAATGAAATTAGAAGTTGTTTTCATGTAGTCGGGCTCATCATCTTTGTTGGGCTCATCATCTTGCTGTGTGTGGTCATAACCGATTCTCTCCCATGGCCGTCAAGTGCTCCACTTTATTTATTTATTTATTTTGAGACGGAGTTTCACTCTTGATGCCCAGGCTGGAGTGCAATGGCGCCATCTCGGCTCACTGCAACCTCCGCCTTCCCGGTTCAAGCAATTCTCCTACTTCCGCCTCCCGAGTAGCTGGGATTACAGGCATGCGCCACCACTCCCGGCTAATTTTGTGTTTTTAGTAGAGACACAGTTTCTTCATGTTGGTCAGGATGGTCTTGAACTCCCGACCTCAGGTGATCCACCAGCCTCGGCCTCCCAAAGTGCTGGGATTACAGGCGTAAGTCACCGCATCCAGCCAAGGGTAAATCTCTTATTTTAGAAATTATTTAGCTAGTGAATGGGGAAGGAATGAGAGACTGAGACTATAATTCTTTTGCAACCCATAACGAATTAACAGATTTAGCCATTGAAAAGCAATGGCAATTAAAAGTAGAGTAGAAGTAAATAACCAGTACTAAGTTCTTCCTCCTGATGGAAGAATACAATGGAGTGCCATAAATGAAGTATTCAAGAAGAAAATCAAGTCAGTCTATAAGCAAATCTCTGTAGCCAACTACCAATTTGTAGAAAGTACAGATAAAACAGGTCCATATTAAACTATGCCTTGGGGTGGAGCCAGCAAAATGCAAACTATGGAAAACTCAGCCAGACAATAAAATTTCAAGGAGGAGCATAGAGAAAAAAAGAGAACAGGCCAGGTGCGGTGGCTCACGCCTGTAATCCCAGCACTTTGGGAGGCCGAGGCAGGCAGATCATGAGGTCAGGAGATTGAGACCATCCTGGCTAACATGGTGAAACCCTGTCTCTACTAAAAATACAAAAAAATTAGCCGGGCGTGGTGGCAGACGCCTGTAGTCCCAGCTACTCGGGAGGCTGAGGCAGGAGAATCGCATGAACCCGTGAGGCGGAGCTTGCAGTGAGCCGAGATCATGCCACTGCACTCCAGCCTGGGTGACAGAGTGAGACTCCGTCTTAAAAAAAAAAAAGAAAAAAGAGAACAAAAATTATACATCCCAAGGTAAAACTAAACTACAATTTCAGAGGATGAAAATATAAAATAGAACAAAGAAGCAATCATCATAAAGGTCAGGCTGTGATTTTATGTGGGGAAGGGAAGCCTTTATCACTGAGCTGGGGCAAATGATGGTTTCTGGGCTGGCTGACAAACTTCTATATCTCTGGTGGTTAAAGGGTGTTTATCTTTTATTATTATTATTTATTATTATTATTAAAGGGCAACATTTTCAGACAGTTTTTCTTTTTGGGTACCTGTTTTATTTTATGGCAAAAAGCTAATGAAGAATAAAATAATTTATAGGTCATGATTACTGTTTTGCAGAAAGCCTACTCTCCACACCCCTCTCCAGACACTGAGCTCCCAAAACAAGTGGCAGCACCAGGACCCCCTGGCAGGGCCACCTCACTTCTGGGTGTGTTCATGTCACTGGAGGCAATGTCCCAGGTCTATTCCTTGATGCCTGGAAGAACCTGATAGGAGACAGTTGAGGGGAAGCCTTCTCTGTCACCTGCAGGTTCTTGGCTGTCACTGTAGAGGGAGCGGGTCCTCACTTCTCCCACAGGCCGGATCACAGCCAGAACCTCCTCCCTGCATGGGGAGTGAGGCTTGATCCTTTCCCTGAATACAGTGACAGAGATCTCTGTGTCATCACATGAAGGCTCCAACTCTTCAGGGCAGATGTTCCCTCACAGAGTCAGCCCCTGAATATTGGCGCCAGATGTCCCACCTCCATCCCTTCCCAGTCCTTTCTGTTCTGCTGTGAATCTGTCAGTCATTGGGAACTAGCAGGGAAAGGGAACAAGGAGGGGAGATTGCTTTGATGCTGGGTCAAGGCATTGAGACAGACCTCTCCTTCTCCCTGAACCTTACACTTTATCCGCTCCCAGACGCATGAAATAAAACACAGACCAGAAATGTCTATTTAAAGAGTAAACATTTACGGTATAAATTATGCACACATAATAGTAGACACAGAGTAATGCATAACGGTGTGACGGGGCGAGGGGACCTCAAGGTGACAAGAAAGCTGGTCCTGGGCTGGTCAGGAGGAGTCATCACCAAGATACTCACTCATAAAGTTCACCCATGATAATCTAATTACTGCACATGTAATATATTAAAATATATTAAAACATAAGAAAATAGGACAGGCATGGTGGCTAATATAATAAAATATATTACAATATAATAAAATAGGCCAGGCACGGTGGCTCATTCTTGTAATCCCAGCACTTTGGGATGCCAAGGCAGGCAGATCACCTGAGGTCAGGAGTTTGAAACTGGGCTGGTCAACTTGGCGAAATCCCGTCTCTACAAAAAATACAAAAATTAGCTGGGTGTGGTGGTGCCTGTCTGTAATCCCAGCTATTCGGGAGTCTGAGGTACGAGAAGTGCTTGAACCTGGGAGGCAGAGGTTGCAGTGAGCTGAGATCACACCAGTGAACTGCAGCCTGGGTGACAGAGTGAGACTCTGTCTCAAAAACAAAAACAAAAACAAAAACAACAGAAATAATGATACCAATTAATATGGCACTGTTAAGGGCCCCACAACCCTGTATTGGACTGAACAAAGGGCGAACGTGGGAATAAAGAGAAAGACAAAAGAGTATATTTGGAACAAGGGGTCAGGGGGCTTCTTGCTTCTCGTGAACAAGGGCTCTGATCTTCCACAGCCCTTCGTATTTATTGGTATAGGAGATAGCAAGAAGAGGGGTGGAAGAAGGAGTCAGCTGCTGGGTCCAGAGTAGGCTTGTAAGACTGCATTCCTCAAACAATAGGCTCTAGATGACCCAGTAGATAACTCCAATGAGCACCATGGAGTGAATGCCCTCAGCAAACCTTCTGTTGGCAGGAGCAGTCGTGAGTTTGCCCACATCCTGCATTCATGATAAACAATTTGCTGTTTGATCATATAGCCTCCAATGGAATGTTGAGTTGGTCATGATCCCTTTGCTGGCTCTCTACGTGGCAGAGCAGCAAACACCTCATACCTACTAACACTTTGCAGCATCCAACAACAATAAATAAGTGATGTTATTTTCTGTTTCATAGGTCAGGAAACAGAGGGAAAGTGCTGGTGAGATCCAGGCAGGGAGTTGAATCCTGGCCGCCTGGCTGTAGAGTCTAGGCGCCCTCAGTGGAACCAGTGGACCCAGTAGCTGACATCAGAGGCTGAAATCCCAGCTGTGCTGCATCCCTGTGGTCTCCTGTCCCAACTGGGTGTTGATCCAGGACCTGCAGGCTCACAAGCTCTGGAGAAGAGGGAAACGGGTAAATGCCCCACTGGGTGCAGTGTTGTGTTTATTCCCTAAGGACTTTTCTCTCTTCAGTTGCCCCAAAATCAGATTCACCCTTTCTCTGAGAGAAGATGAGGCCCCCACTTTTTTCTTCCTCCCTCCTTGCTTTTCCCAGCCCCTGTCAGTTCTCTCCCATCACTCCATCAACATCAGCCCCTGTCCTGTGCCCACCACTCACCGTGCAGGGAGTGAAAGGGCCCCAAGACAAAAGGACAAGACCCAAGAGGGAACCCAGTGCCCTCCTCTCAGGCCTGACCAGTCCTGTTACAGTGAGAGGCCTCCCCAAAGAGAGGCCCTGACCCTTGCTCTCAGTCCCCAGGCCCTCCTCTCCTGCAGAGGCACCTGCACACCAGGGCAGGCCCTGCCCACTGTGGGCCCTGCCCTCTATCTGCAGCTCAGCACTCCTCCCCTCCCAGCCCTGAGCAGGCAGCTCCTAACTGGGGACCCCATCAGGAAGCCTGGGGGGCCCAGCAGGCCCAGCATGGAAAGACATGGCTGCCACAGGATCTGCACCTGACATGACCCTGGGACCCCCCACCTTGCTCGAGGAGGCCTGGCCTCCCATGACCTTCAGCACCCACCTAGGCCTGTGACCTGCTGTTGAGTCACTACTGCTCCTGCCTGGTCCACTTACTCCTGGTCCACTTACTTCACCCCAGAGCTGCTGCTTGGTGAGGCTGCGAGGCCTTCCTGCTCTGTCCCTAGCAGGGATTCCACCCAGGCCACTGCCCTTGCAACCTACAAGGACTTTTCTCCACGTGGAGTAGGGGAGACCCCTTAGCCTGAGGCTGCCTCTGCCCACCCTCTGCACCTGGGAACTGCCGCTGCCACAGCCACCATCTCCACACAGACCCTTCTGGAGAGGGGGCTCCAAATTTGAGTTCCTGTTTTATTTAATATGCTTTACAACAGCAGTATTAGAGGAAATCCTATTAAGATTATAGAGCTGAAATTACGAACATCTTTATTGGACATCAACATTGAAAGCAGGAATTTTGATAAACTGGCACATGAATTTCATACCCTTTTCCTGGCCAAAACCCCAGTGACCTACGAGGAAACCATTCCTGCCCACAGGGAACCAGAAGTGACAATCCCTCCACGGGAGACGCCGCAGGTGAGAGCAGGAGTGACCACAGACCTGCACTGCTCCTGCTGTGGGTGCCTCCTGGACAGGGCCCTCTTGCTGCAGGGCAGGGGACGAACCTTCCCATCTGCTCAGGCATGAGGGGCCGACTGACAGTGCAATTAGGTTCAAGGATGAGAAACCAGCGCCCCTACCGCCAGACTCAGGTCTCCTGGACACCCCAGCCTCTCACTGTCCCCTGCACTGCCTCTGTTTTTGCAGAAACACAAAACTTCTGCTGTCTCTTTTCATCCCCCATCAAACAACCTGACTGTGGGGGAAATGCTTCTGACCGTCCCTTACTCCAAACTTACCAGGCAGTGACCACCTTGAGAAAGGGAAATTGGCTCAGGGAGGGCAAGGTAAGGCCACAGAGCACAGAACAAAGCCTCAAAGAGATGGCGCCTGGGGACTGTGTCCCTCAGGGACTGCAGAAGAAAACACGCTGGAGGTAGGATGAAAACAGGGACCACATCTGCCCTGATGAGGGGCTGGGCCCCGCTCCTCAAATGGCCCAGGGACATCTGCTTATCTATTCATCTGTGTCATCTGCAAGGAAACTCAGGGAGGCCAGGTGGTGGGAACCTGGAAAGTGCCTCCTGGAGGAGGCACACGGGTGGGCACCGCCTCTCCTTGGATTCCTCTCCAGTTTCTGGCCCTCCCCAGATCACAGCCACCTTTACTATTTCCTCCCTCTGACACCATGATCATCCAGGCCCTCAGCAATCAGCACGTGATTCCCAACTCACCCCACCTGGACGCACCCTAGTGAGCCCGAGAGACAGAGAGGCTGGGATGGGGACAGAGCAGGTGCCACAGCCCTCCCTGCTGCCCACTCCTCACTTGCAGCAGGAGGAGGCCACAGCTGGATATTCGAAGGCCTTGCCCCAGCCCTGGCTTGAGAAGCACTTATGGGTGTAGATGGAGATGCAGCTCCCATTCCCCTCCCAAATACCCCAGCTTCCATCCCCTGTTCCAGCAGCCTTGTCACCTACGTCTTGTCTGGGCAGGAGCAATGAGGAGACCCTACTGCCTAGAAAGGAGCTTTCCCATCTCCAGAAACTGTCCCCTTTTCTCACCTGGACCCTCTGCCGCTGATGTTTTCTTCTTGCAACAAGGGACACAGAGAATAATAATAATAACAAAACATGGCATAGCAGCAGAAACATATGGAAAGTCTGTCCGTTGACTCTGAAGCACCAGCGCCTTCCCTGAAAAAAAGGGACTTGTTATACACTGGGCAGAGAGCCACAGCCGTCCCTGCTGTTCCTACCCTGGCCTGACCCTCTCCAGGGTCACCCCAGGCTCACCAGAGGGCACAGGGTGAGTGCCGTGATTCCCGCTGTGTTCCATGTAGCAGGTGAACCTCTGCTCCTCTCCTTGGCGAATCCTGGTGGCCACCCAGGTCTGGTAGGTTCCATTCCCATCAGGCAGGACATCCCCCCACTGCTGGGTGTTGTGGCTCAAAGATACCCCATCCTGACGCCAGGTCAGTGTGATATTCCGGGGATAGAAGCTGGAAGCCCTGCATGTCACGGTGATGTTGCCCTCTGAGACCTCGCTGCAGGTGACATTCACCATGGGGGGCACTGGAGAAGAAAGGGCAGAGCCAGTGAAGCCCTGCTCCCCTCTAAGGGAGATGCAGGGAACAGGGCTGCTCCTCTCCACTGTTCTCACTCTGGCTGAATCCCTCACAGATCCCGGACCTTCTGTAAGTCTGTCCTCACCCTGGGGCCTAATTCCTCCAGGCTAGCAGGAGGATGGGCCTTGGGACTGTGGCCTCAGGCTCTGGGATCCCCACATTGATGCTGAGGAGGGGGATGTCAAGGGTGGACTCCTGGGTCATGGGGCCAGGAGGGAACTCTCCGGGATGGGCAGGCCGGGAGGCAGAGGGGGCAGCCCTGGCCCTGAGGGCTTCCTCTCCTGCCTAACTCCCACCCCAGGCTCAGGCTTCTGTCAGAGGGCCCACTGCTTTCCCAGATTACAACACTGGACAGTTCAGTCCCAGACCCACTGTCTTTATCCAATGGCTCTAACAGGAGAGGCAAATCAGGACACAATATGCCAACAGGAAACGCCTGCATCCATAGCACAGGGAGGGTTTCCCCGGACAGAGCTGGGAGGCGAGGCAACTCTAGCAGAATTGCGGGAACAGTAGAGCCCCTGGCCAGGGTCGGTACCTGTTCTCCTGATGGCCACCCCGGATTTCAGATATCGCTGTAGTTTCTGCAGGCAGTCTGCCTGCATAGCGCGATAGTGTGTCTTGGTCTTCATGGCATCTTCCTTCCAGAAATTTGTGACGTTCATAGCCAAGGTCTGAGCTCTGGAGGACTGGGGCACTGTCGATTCTTGAGTCTCCAGGTTTTGGGAGAGGAAGAGCTCCCCATCGTAGTAGAAATGCCGGGAGCCCCTGGTGCTGCTGTCTTCATGGATCTCACAGACCCTAATCTCCTGGAGGGAATGCAAGCCTGCCCCCACCCAGCAGTGACTTCTCCATTCCCGAACCCATCACCTTTCCACCCAAGTGAGGAACTCAGCCCAGCGGCGACCCCTCCCTGGCCCTCCTCCATGCCTCCCTGTGTGGGCTGAGTTCCGGCTCACCACCCTGCTGAGCCTCCCTGACCCTATTCCTCATCCCCACCCCCAGCCAGATCCAGCGGGAAGAGACAGGTCCCTGCTCTCTGTCTCCAACTTTCCTGGAGAAGGCCTCCCATTACTCTTGCCCCTGCCGACTCTCACCTCCTTTCTGGTCCTTGATATGAGTCAGGGTCCTCCTGAGGTCTTGCCCATTCTCTGTCAAGTCCTCGGTCTCTGTGTCCCAGGTCTTAGCTCCCAGGACATCTTCTGCCCACTGTCCCTGGGGCTTTGCCCTGCGTTTCTGCCTGTCATAGCGCAGGAAGGGCTGACCATCCAGATGTCCCTCAGCGAGAAACCCTGACTGCACAGATCCATCCTGGGACAGCACCATGAGGTTGTAACGAAGACTGTGGGGCTCTGGGGAAGAGGAAATCACAGGTGAAACTTCTTCCTGGAAATAACTTCACATTGATGTTTAACACACAGGTCTGCTGTCCCGACCTCCCTGAGGAGGCAGGAAATGCACATGGGCAAAAGGACAAGAACGAAGATTTCATATACAAGGAAAACTGTGAGGGTGGGAGGATAGAGGAGGGGGCTGATGAACAGAAGAAGGGGGAATGAAGATGGCAAACTTGTAGGTCAGGTGCCAGGACTGGGTGGCCACAAGCCCCCTAAGGGAATAGGGGCCAAGGGGAGAGGCTGCCCTGCAGGGGCAAGGGAGGAGCATGAAGGCAGTGGTGGAAGGAAGGTCTTGCCAGAGGGGACAGTGGGAATGGGAAGGGACTCAGGCTCAGAGGGACCCATGTCCAGTGTGGCTGTGGTGCACAGGTGAGGGTGAGATGGAGGCAAGGGGAGCTGCCTTGAGAAAAGACTCATCATGGGCATGGTGGGGACAAGGGAGGGGGTGGTCATGAGGCACAAGGGGTAGGAAGGTTGTAGCCCTAGAGAAGTTTATAGTGGGGTCAGTATCCCAGAGGGGAGCAACGGTGTGGGCTTGGGTCCAAAGTGGAAGAGTGGCATGACAAGGCCCCAGGACAGCAATTGGATGGAACAGCTAGTGTCCACTGGGGTGGGCAGGTGACAGGGTCTCAAAGAGTAAGTCCATCTTTTCAGCAAATAGTGCTGGGGGAACTGGATGTTCAAATAATATAAAATTGGACCCTTAATTTGTACTATATACAAAAATTAACTCAAAATGAATCAAAGACCTAAACTCTAAACTCAAGAACTAAAACATAAAAATATCTTAGAAAAAAACATTGGGTATAATGTTCATGACATAGGGTTTGACAGTGCTTTCATGGATATGACGCCAAAGCACAGATAGAATAGAAAGAACTGACAAACTGGACTCATGAAAAATTCAAAATATCTGTGCATCAAAGGGCACAATCAGAGTGAGAAAGCAATCAACCCCTGAAATGAAATAAATATTGCAAGTCATATATCTGATAAGAGATTAGTTTCCAGAAGGCCAGGCGTGGTGGCTCAAGCCTGTAATTCCAGCACTTTGGGAGGCCGAGGCGGGTGTATCACCAGGTCAGGAGATTGAGACCATCCTGGCTAACATGGTGAAACCCTATCTCTACTAAAAATACAAAAAATTAGCCGGGTATGGTGGCGGGCGCCTGTAGTCCCAGCTACTCGGGAGGCTGAGGTGGGAGAATGGCATGAAGCTAGCGGGCGGAGCTTACAGTGAGCTGAGATCGTGCCACTGCACTCCAGCCTGGGCAACAGAGCAAGACTCCATCTCAAAAAAAAAAAAAAAAAAAAAAAAAGAAAAAGAGAGAGATTAGTTTCCAGAATATGCAAAAAAGTTTGACAAAAACAACAAAACAGTCAACCCACTCAAAAATGGGCAAAATAGCCATGAGAAGCTATGTGGGGGAGAAAAATGGGCAAGACTTCAATGGCCAATTCTTCAAAGAAAATATACAAATGATCAATAAACACATGAAAAGATGCTCAATATCAGTACTTATTAGGAAAATGCAAATCCAAACCACAACGAGATACCACTTCAAACCAATCAGGGTGGCTATTATCATACACACACACACACACACACACACAAACAGCAAGTTTGGCAAGGAGGTAGAGAAACTGAAGCCCCTGTATACTGCTTCTAGAAATACAAAATGGCACGCCTGCAATGGAAAACACTATGGTGATTCCTCTAAAAATTAAAAAATGAAATACCGTATGATCCAACAATTCTATTTCTGGATATATACCCAAAAGAAATACTCAAAAGAAATAAATATATACCCAAGAGAAATGAAATATTTGCCAATATCCAAAAGGTAGAAGTAACCCAAGTGTCCATTGTCCGAGGAATGGATAACCAAGATGTGGCACATACATATAATGAGTATTATTCATCATTAAAAGGAATGAAAATCTGACCCATACTACAACCTGGATGAACCTCGAAATATTATAAGTGAAATAAGCCAGAATCAAAAAGACAAACATTACACGATTCTACTTAAATGAGGTACCTAGAGTGGTCAAATTCATAGAAACAAAAAGTAGAATGATGGTTACCAGGGGCCAGAGGTAGGGAGGAATGGGGAGTTACCGATTAATGGGTACAGAGTTTTGGGTTGCACAAAAATGTGAATGTATCTAATGCCACCGAGTATACACTTAAAAGTGGTTAAAACAGTAAAATTTATGTAATGTATAATTTACCACAATTAAACGTTTAAAGAACAAGAAATATCAGTCCTATTCAAATTGTTCTGAAAAACAGAGGAGGAGGGAATACTTCCAAACTCATTTTACAAAGCCAGGAATATCCTGATATCAAAATCAGGCAAAGACACATCAAAAAAAGAAAACTACAGGCCTATATCCCTGATGAACATTGAGGCAAATATCATCAATGAAATACTAGCAAACCACATTCAACAGTATATTAAAAAGTTCATTCTTCATGACCAAGTGGAATGTATTCCAGGTATGCATACACAAATCAATCAATGTAATACATCGTATCAACAGAATAAAGGACAAAAGCCATATCACCATTTCAATTGATACTGAAAAAGCATTTGATAAGTTTAACATCCCTTCATGATAAAAACTCTAAAAAAACTGAGTATACAAGGAACAGACCTCAATATAATAAAAGCCATATATGACAACTCACAGCTAGTAACATACTGAATGGGGGAAAACTGAAAGCCTTTTCTTTAAGATCTGGAACAAGACAAGGATGACTACTTTCACTACAGTTATGCAACACAATACTGCCAGTCCTAGCTAGAGCAATCTGACAGGAGAAGGAAATAAAGGGCATCAAAATTGGAAAAGAAGAAGTCAAATTATCCTTGTTTGCACATCATGTGGTCTGATATTTGGAAAACCTAAAGACTCCACCAAAAAACTATTAGAACTGAAGAACAAATTCAGTAAAGTTGCAGGATACAAAATCAACATGCAAAAATCAATAGCATTTCTATGTGCTAACAGCAAATAATCTGAAAAAGAAATCAAGAAACGAATCCCATTTTCATTAGCTACAAATCAAATAAAATACCTAGGAATAGACTTAACTGAAGAAGTGAAAGATCTCTCCAATAAAAACTATAAAGCACTGATGCAAAACATTGAAGAGGACACAAAAAATGGAAAAGGCATTCCATGTTCATGGACTGGAAGAATCAATGTTTATTTTTATTTTCTGAGATGGAGTTTTGCTCCTGTTGCCCAGGCTGGAGTGCAATGGTGCAATCTCAGCTCACCACAACCTCTGCCTCCTGGGTTCAAGCGATTCTCCTGCCTCAGCTTTCCTGAGTAGCTGGGATTACAGGCATATGCCACCACGCCTGGCTAATTTTGTATTTTTAGTAGAGGCGGGGTTTCTCCATGTTGATCAGGCTGGTCTTGAACTCCTGATCTCAAGTGATCCACCTGACTCGGCCTCCCAAAGTGCTGGGATTACAGGAGTGAGCCACCGTGCCCAGCCGGAAGAATCAATTTTGTTAAAATATCCATCCTACCCAAAGCAATCTACAAATTCAATGCAATTGCTATCAAAACACCAATGACATTCTTCACAGAAATAGAAAAACAATCCTAAAATGTATATGGAATCACAAAAAACCCAGAATAGATAAAGCTACCCTGAGCAAAAAGAACAAAACTAGAGGAATCACATTATCTGACTTCAAATTATACTACAGAGCTAGAGTAATCAAAACAGCATGGTAGTGGCATAAAAACAGACACACGGACCAATGAAACAGAATAGAGAACCCAGAAACAAATCCATATATCTACAGTGAAGTTATTTCTAACAAAGTTACCAAGAACACATACAGGGCAAAGGAGAGTCTCTTCAATAAATGGTGCTGGGGAAACTAGATATCCTTATGCAGAAGAATGAAACTGGACCATATCTCTCACCACATATAAAAATCCAATCAAAAAGTATTAAAGATGTAAATCTATGACCTCAAACTATGAAAACTATAAAAGAAAACATTGGGGAAACTCTCTAAGATATTGGACTGGCAAAGATTTTTTAAGTAATACCCCACAAGCACAGGCAACCAAAGTAAAAATGCATAAATGGGATCATATCAAGTTAAAAAGCTTCTGCACAGCAAAGGAAACAATAAACAAAGTGAAGAGACCATCCAAGAATGGGAGAAAATATTTTCAAACTATTCATCTGACAAAGGATTAGTAACCAAAACATATAAGGATCTCAAACAACTCTATAGGAAAAATATCTAATAATCCAACTTAAAAATGAGCAAAAGATCTGAATAGTCATTTCTCAAAAGAAGACATACAAATGGCAAACAGGTATATCAAAAGGTGCTCAACATCATTCGTCATCAGATGAAGGCAAATCAAAACTCCTACGAGATATCATCCCACCCCAGATAAACTGGCTTTTATCCAGAAGACAGGCAATAAGGAATCCTGGCGAGGATGTAGCAAAAGAGAACCCTTGTACACTGTTGGTGGGAACGTAAACTAGTATAACCACTGTGGGAAATAATGTGGAGGTTCTTCCAAAAACTAAAAATATAACAGAGCTGTCATATGCTCCAGCACTCCCACTGTTAGGCATATACCCAAAAGAAAGGAAATCGGTATATTAAAGAGCTATCTACTTTTCCATGTTTATTGCAGCACTATTCAAAATAGCCAAGATCTGCAAGCGACCTAAGTGTCCATCAACAGACGAATGGAGAAAGAAAATGTGGTGCACACGTGTATGTGGAGTACTATTCAGCCACCATGTCATTTGCAAAGAACTGGAGGTCATCATGTGAAGTGAAATAAGCCCCAGGCCCAGACAGACAAACTTTGCATGTTCTCACTTATTTGTGGCAGCCAAAAATTAAAACAATGGACCTCATGGGGAGAGACAATAGAATGACGATTACCAGAGGCTGAGAAGGGTAGTGGGGAGTGGGGGAGTGCGGATGGTTAATGGGTACAAAAATATAGTTAGAATGAATAAGATCTAGTAGATAGCACAGCAGGGTGAGTACAGCCAACAATAATTTATTGTACATTTAAAAATAACTGAAAGAGCATAATGGGATTGTTTGTAGCACAAAGAAAGGATAAATGCTTGTTGTGATAGATAACCCATTTACCCTGATGTGATTATGACATATTGTAGGCCTGTGTCAAAATATCCCATGTACCCCATAAATATATACATACATATCTACTACGTACCCACACAAAAGTTAAAAATTAAAAACAAAGCAAGGGGTGGGGGTGCTGGCCAGAGAGAGAAAACCAAGGTGGAGGGGGAGATTCTCAGCCTGAGGAAGGACCTGCCAAAAGGAGTAATGCTGGAGGGGGAGCAGTGGCACCCCAAGAGCAGGCAAAACAGATTTTAGATATGCGGTGTGGGGAGTGAGAGCCCACTGGGGTCAAGGAACCAAAAGAAAAGAAGGAAGGTCAAGGAACAGCTGGCCCAACAGCCTGTTTTAGGTCTGGGTTGGGGAGGGGAGATGGGCAGAGCAAGAACTGGAGGGCGGCATGAGCATGGGGCAGGAGTGACTGTGGGAGAACTTGGGGTAGGGTGAGGACAGGAGGGGAGGGTGCTCTGGGGGAGGGTGGGGCTTGGGAAAGATTCTCAGCACTGTCATATGCTCCAGCACTCCCACTTTCCCACTGAAAGATGAGAACTTGCTGAGGGCCCCAGGCAGCTGGGCAAGAGACAGGAGCAGCACAAGGTCCCAAGGTGGAGAGGGGCGGAGGGACCAGGGAGGGATGGTCCAGCATCTGTGGGCTGGAGGGTGGGGTCCTCAAGAGGGTGAGGCTGAGGATGAAGGAGTGGGGAAGGGGCCACAATGAGGCAGGGCCCAGAGCAGGCACCTGCACTGGAGGGGAGGGGGCATCTGCGCTGCCCTGCGCCCTGCCTAAGGCCCAACTGCCATTAGCATCAGGGCTCTCCTTGGGGGTCTGGAGGGGAGTGGGATGGAGGGAAGACCCCCCCCGGACAAAAGGCAGCACCAGAAAGTTAGAGTCAGGGACATTTGGGAATGGGGAGGCATAGGGGCAGCACGGAGTGAAGGCTGCTTGCAGGAAAGGCCCATAAAGGAGGCAGGAGGGACCTTCAGTGGCGGGGGCGGGGGATGAAGGCAGAGGACACCCTAGAAATGGATCAGAGAACAGCACACAGGAAGGGGTAGCAGGGAGCTGGGAGAACAACAGGACCCAGGGCGCCGTAAGATGGGCAGGGAGGAGGTGAGAGGGAATCTGGTGTCCTTAGATCATTGGTCATTAGTAGGGGTGGGATGCGAGAGAGGAGAGGACCCCCGGAGCCGGAGGCGAGGGGAGAATGAGCTGGGGATGACAGAAGTCGCAGGAAGAATCCTCTGCCCGGAGCCTGCAGACTCCAACCCCTCAGCTTGAGAGTCAGGACCCCCCACAGTCCCCACAGCAGCAAGAAGCACCACCTCCGGGTCCCAAGAAAGGAGGGCCCCAACTCCAGGAGCTGCGGCCCAGGAGCTGAGAACACATCGGCTCCGGGAGAGGACAGGACTTCAGGGAGCTGAGATCCGCCCCCAGCACCGGGGGAAGTGGCTGCCTCAGCGGCCGCGCTGGAACGGCCTTCCAATGCCATTCACAGGAGCAGCCCGGGAACCCAGGGGCCTCAGAAGGACTGGTTTGTCCGAAAAGTGAGAGGAGACGGAGGAGAGGCGAGGAGAGCAAGTGCAGGAGGAGACCAGAAAATGCGGGTGATGCGCGATCCCGAGGAGGACTGAAAGGAGACGGGAGGTCGGGCGCGGTGGCTCACCTCTGTAATCCCAGCACTTTGGGAGGCCGAGGCGGGCGGATCACGAGGTCAGGAGATCGAGACCATCCTGACTAACACGGTGAAACCCCATCTCTACTAAAAACACAAAAAATTAGCCGGGCGTGGTGGCGGGCGCCTGTAGTCCCAGCTACTAGGGAGGCTGAGGCAGGAGAATGGCGTGAACCCGGGAGGCGGAGCTTGCAGTGAGCCAAGATCGCGCCACTGCACTCCAGCCTGGGCAACAGAGACTCCGTCTCAGAAAGAAAAAAAAAAAAAAAAAAAAAAAAAGAGACGGGAGATGGGAAAGCAGGGCTGAGGTGTGGCGGGAACAGGCGGCGTCCAGCTCCCTGCACTCCAGACAGCACACCTGAGCCCCGCCCTGACCGCACAGCGCTCGCGGCAACCCACCCGGACCCCCGGAAACGCCCCGCCGCTCCCGCTCCGCCGGGGACCGCCAGGAACCCCACTCACCAGCGGCGGCTGCCGGGGGTGCAAAAGGGAAGGCGACGGCCAGAAACAGCAGGACCCGGCCCAGCCCCATGGCCCCTACGTCGCCACCTTCTCAGCTGCTCAGCAGTGGCCAACTGAATGAAACCGGTGAGAAGACCCCGTCGAAATTTAGTCACCTGCGCCCCGCTCAGCGACCGCTTATCCAGTGAAAACTGAGGCCCGGAACTTAGGGCCAATCATGAATGGAGAGGGCGGGGCCACGTTCAGAAGAGAAAATTCTAGCGGCCTGGAGACCTGGGGAAATTTAGAAGGCGGGACCTGGCGGCCAGAAAAGGTGGAGCGTGCGCGAGCGCAGCCAAAATCAAGGACCAGCCCCGAGTAGCTGAGAGTACAGCTCCAACCTTATGAGCACGACCTGGACCCTGTCGCCCTCCCTGCATCGCGACCACCCCATCCCCGCATTCCCACCCCCAAGGAGCGCGGGCTTCACCAAGCCCCTTTCGCCGGTCCTCCCATCAGGCCGGCTCTCACTGGCTTGTTCCTTCCGGGACAGACAACGCGTGGTTTTTCTCCCAATACACTCCCTCAACCGCGCACAGCGTTACTGCAATGAGACCAGTGACCAGATTTGCAGACCTGTTTCCAGATCTCAGCCGCCTCTGCCTTTCAGAAGCACTTGCCCCAGTAGAAACGCTCAGATCACAAATTCTCTTAGACGTTTCAGCTATATAATCTCCTTCTCCTCCCTTCGACTCAAAGCCAGGTCCCCCCTTTCACCCCCTTATATCCTCTAAGTGTCTGAGGTCTCCCAGGGCCCCCTCTCTATTCAGTTCCTGGGTAATCACAGGGCCAACGAGGCGGCTCCCCATGGTTCATTACAACACCAAGCTCTCTCCAGACTCCCTTTTCCAGCCTGTTTTAGGACATCTGTACCTCTGGGACCATAGTCCCCTTCAATGTGACAGATCTACAAGGACTCTCTACACGTCTCCCACCACATCATCCTCTCTTCCTCCTCAGTTTCTCTTAAGAACTTCACCATCCTTGGTCCCTTCTGATTTCCTCTTTCCCCTTCATCTCCGGGAGTCAAAGTCAGCTCCTTCAACACTATTTCAATCCCACAGCCACAATGTTAGTCTAGGCGTTCCCCTCCCTTCAGCCTGGATTACTGCACAGGCTTCCTAAACACTGTGCCTGCCTCAGTTACAACCAGAGTGCTCCAAGCCACCCACAGCGCCCCATCTGCTGAATGTCACAGATGGTGGATGCTTCTACTCTACCATGGAAACCATAGCTCCCACAATCTATTGTCTGGCACCACCTCCATTTCTCTGGTGACATTTCCCCAGGGTTGCAGTAAACGTGGGCTCTGGGATCTCCTCACCCTATCCCACCAGGATGCCACTGCCTAAGCAGTCTCCCTCTTCCAGGTTACTGTCACCTCTGCCTTGGAACCCATCAGACCACAGCATATCCTCAAAATCTTCCCAATTAGGCTGGTCTGAGTGCAGTGGTGTTTACAACTAATTGATCACAACCAGTTATAGATGTTTTTGTTTCATCTTCACTCCCACTGTTTCACTTGACTAGCCTTTAAAAAAAAAAAAAAAGGAAAAAGGGTCCGGGCACGGTGGCTCACGCCTGTAATCCCAGCACTTTGGGAGGTCGAGGTGGGCAGATCACGAGGTCAGGAGATCGAGAGCATCCTGCTAACACAGTGAAACCCCGTCTCTACTGAAATTACAAAAAACTTAGCTGGGCGTGGTGGCGGGCACCTGTAGTCCCAGCTGCTCAGAAGGCTGAGGCAGGAGAATGGGGTCAACCCGGGAGGCAGAGCTTGCAGTGAGCTGAGATTGCGCCACTGCACTCCAGCCTGGGCAACAGAGCAAGGCTCCGCCTCAAAAAAAAAAAAAAAAAAAAGAAAAAAAGGAAGAAAATCTTCCCAAGTAGATAGTGGTGACGGTGGCACAACCTTGTGATTATGCTAGAAGCCACTGATCTGTACACTTTAAAGCGATAAATTATGTGTGGCATATGAATTCTCAATTCTCAATAATAAGAATTCTGTCTGGAAAGCCTCTTTCTACTAAGAGAATTGGCTTGTCCCCAGCGCACATTCTTAGTCATTGGGACATCTAGGCGGTGGTCTTCAAACCTAGCCACTGCGTAGAACCACCTGGAGAGTTTTTAATATCCATGTTCCCAGGCCACAGCCACAACCAGTTAAATCAGTAAACCTAGGTTGGACCTAAACCTTAGTATCTTTTAAAGTTCCCTACGTGATTCCGATGTGTAGTCAAGTTTTAGAACTACTGATCTAGCCCATGGTTTGAACCTTCCTGATGGTACCGACTGTGCCCTGTCTTGAATCTTATTTTTTTTCATTTATTTTATTTTATTTTTTTAAGAGAGGAGTCTTGCTGTGTCACTCAGTTGGAATGCAGTGGCGTGATTATAGCTCACTGCAGCCTCAAATGTCTGGGCTCAAGCAATCCTCCCACCACAGCCTCTTGAGTAGCTGGGACTACAGGCGAGTGCCACACACCCAGCCATCACCTACCATCTTCTACCCTCCTCCCCCATTAGACTATGAACCCTCCAGGATCAGGAACTGTGTCCATTTCTTTTTTGTTGGCCTCACAACCTTTTTTTTTAAGTTCAACTAACCCTGTCATTACTAACTATTCCCCTATCATCCCTAGCCTACACTTTTCTGTGGATGAAAATGTAATGTACTCGAGAATTTTAACAATTTCTTAGTCTTCCCATACACATTCACTGATAATTTATTTTGATCCTCATAATTTATTAAGCACAGCAGGGACTGGGGTCCTGTCCCCACCTTAGAGAGATTATTTTCGCTGCTAAAGATCATAAGCATAGTTTGAGACAGAGAGGGAGATGGACCCAGCTCTCCTGACACAGGTCCCAAGCCCTTCCTTCCACGGTGACTACCCTCCCTCCAGGACTTCCTCCGTGTGCCAGCTCCAGCAAAGGGTCTCATTCAGCTCGCCTCCAAAAAAGACTTTTAATAGTTCAATAATAATAATGAATATTTAAGGTTTGTTCTAAGGCATTTAGAAGCGGTTTCAGGGAGACATGAAGCCAGTCCTCCCCTGGGCTAGGGGAGGCCAAGATGGTCTTGAGCTCCAGGGGAGTTGCTTCTCAGCGCCGAGGCCTGGGTCCCCTCCCCCACCAAGCCTCCCAGGTCTTCTGTTCAAAGCTCTCCCCCTCCACCCCACCTCCAGCCCCCTCTGCTCTGCCCCATCAACTATGTTTTCTCCCTCAGCACTTGCCTTAGATCCCTGGACTCAGGGACTAAGTCCTCGCAGGACTTCCTCCTCGCAGACTTTAGGCGCCACTGCAGGGTCCGGAAAAGAAAGAGAAACGGCCCAGCGCGGTCGCTCACAAAATTCAGGGCGGGGCTGCCCTCGGCGCCCGAAAGCTTTTTGTTTTTTGTTTTTTTTTTTTTGAAACTGAGTTTCGCTCTTGTTGCCCAGGCTGGAGTGCAGTGGCGCGATCTCGGCTCACAGCAACCTCCGCCTCCCGGGTTCAAGTGAGTCTCCTGCCTCAGCCTCCCGACTAGCTGGGATTACAGGCATGCGCCACCATACTCGGCTAATTTTGTATTTTTAGTAGAGGCGGGGTTTCTCTATGTTGGTCAGGCTGGTCTGGAAATCCCGACCTCAGGTGATCCGCCCGCCTCGGCCTCCCAAAGTGCTGGAATTACAGGCTTGAGCCACCGCGCACGGCTTTGCCCGCAAGCGTTTTGAATTTTGTGGCCCGGAATTCACTGCGAGGACTGGGATCACCCATCACCCTTCCCTGGTCTACGGAAAATGAAACGTGTTTACTGATACAGAAACGGAATAACGGCACTTTGGGCTGGGGAGGGCCGAGCTGCCTCAGGCTTCTGGTCTCCAGCTGCGCGGCACTCACACCTGCCGCTGTGAAAATGCAGACCCGCGGGGCAGGAATTCCGAGTCCAGGCTGGAGCGCGATCTGGAATCTGACTCGCTGGAAACAGCACCGCGGTGGATTCGGACCTGGGTGAGTAGGGAACTGCGCCTCAGCCCCTCCCGCAGGCCGCCCACAGATTCCGGGGTCCGAAAACACTTCACCCCTGGAAGGCAGCGCCCGCCTCTGGGCGGTTCTGATGGAAACGGGCTCCACCGCCCGCAGGAAAACCCACAACTAAGGGGCCAGGAAAAAGCCTCTCAGGGTCCCGCCGCTTCAGTGAGGATCCTAATTTACACCCCGAGTTTGGCCCCGTCAAAGACGGGAGGGACCACTGAAATGATACAAGACCAGCGCGGCCCAGGGCGCTGGGGCGCATAGAATGCTGTGACAGCGCCGCCTCGCGTCCCTTTTCTGACCTGCCCCAGGCGGACGCGGTGAAGTGTGTTGGCCTGGAGGCTGGAATACACCGGGGATCAAGTGCAGAGAGTGGTGAAAGGAGGGAAGGATAGGGGGACGTGTTAAGAAAGGAGGGAAGAGATAGGAAGAAAAGGGGAGAGAAAAAGTAAAGGAGAGATAAAATTTAAAAGACGTAGTTTTATTATTTATTTTTGCCCTTTATCTAGTTTTAGTTATGAACATTTTTACTATAGCTTTCTCTCTTTCTGAATCTGTAAATATACTGCTATTATTGTTATTTCAGAGCCTGTGAGGGTAAGTTGCAGACAGCATGACCCTCTACCTCCAGATGTGTCAGGGTGTGTCTCCTGGGCACAAGAACAGGGTTTTTGTTTTGTTTTGTTTCACATAAGCAAAGTACAAATCTCAAAGACGATAATATTTTTAAATCATCATATTGGGACATACTTTGCATGCAATAAACTGCATCTATTTAAAGTGTTCAACTTGTTGAATTTTAGCTGTTGTACACACCCACATCTCCACTACCACAGTGAAGATAAAGAACATTTCAATTGTCTCCCAAAGAAGAGTTATATTATAAAATTCTATACAGTCATTAAAAAGAGTAAGATTGCTTTTAAGTATTGCTATGAAAAGAAGTGCCCAGCATACTTTTAACCTTTTTTAAAAGGTTAAGGAGGCTGGGCCCAGTGGCTCACGCCTGTAATCCCAGAACTTTGGAAGGCCAAGGTGGGCAGATCACCTGAGGTCAGGAGTTGGAGATCAGCCTGGTCAATATGGTGAAACCCTGTCTCCACTGAAAATACAAAAATTAGCCAGGCATGGTGGCCGGCGCCTGTAGTCCCAGCTACTCGGGAGGCTGAGGCAGGAGGATTGCTTGAACCCGGGAGGTGGAGGTTGCAGTGAGCTGAGATCGTGCCACTGCACTCCAGCCTGGGTGAAAATGCCGCTAATATTACTTACATAATATTAATATATATTTTAAGTAGGGGAAAACCTGGAAGATTCCTCACCAAAGTTTTGACAGTGACTTCAGAGACTGGGATAACTTTGTGACTTTCATTTTCTCTGAAATGTTGGAATTTTATCTTTTAGTATAAACTTGGATTTGGGTGAGTTGCAGTGGTTCATGCCTATAATCTCAGCTCTTTGGGAATTGGAGGCAGGAGGATCGCTTGAGCCGGGGAGTTCCAGGCTGCAGTGAGCTATGATTGTGCCATTGCAATCCAGCCTGGGTGACAGGAGGAGAACCTGTCCCCAAAACAAAAATAAATAAAATTTTAAAATAATAAAAATTGTGAACTTGGATTTATGCGGACGTTAAGGAAGAGAATATTTCAATTTGAAAATACGAAGCTAAGCCCCACACCAAAATGGTTACAGAGTTTTAAAAACCAAAATGTTCTTTAAAACCCACCACCAGAAACTCTTTCAAGAGGATCCTTCATATTTTCATGTCATTGAATCTTTCTTAAAGTGCCTTTGAAAGAGATGTTTTCAGTGGAATAGAGAGATGTGTAACAATATTTACAAAAGGGGTTGGCTGTAATAAAAAGGAAAACGCAAATGAGTGGGGACACAGGGGACCCTGTTCCATTTATTCTCAAAGCACGTTTGAAAACTGCGTTGCCATAGCGTCCTTGGATGGAGACAAAGTCGAGGCAGATCTTGTTCCTGGAGTATTGATTTGATTTTGGAAACGGTCCAAGGCTTTCAGAAATCAGGCTGGCTTAGATCTAAAGTCTCAAGAATGTTCGTTCTAGCAGTGAGCCTGTGAGAAGAATCTAGCCCATCTGGGCGATGCTCTCTCTGCTTTCACCTAGTGGCAGTGGTTGGAAGGACAGGGCACAGTGTTACTGCATGGGTGGGGCTGAAGCCAAGGTGAAACCGCCTTTGCAAAATTATAAGTAAGGAAATGATGACAGTGAAAGATATCAAACCTAACTCACCCTATCTTGCTTCTAACCGCTAACCTGCCCTTGTTCATTTCTGGGCATAGGCCGAACTAGCCTTGGGAAGGAATTTATAGTTTAAAGGGAAAGTGTTCTTTTAAAACGAATGAAAGGCCGCCAGCCATTAAGTTAGGATGAGAGGGGCTGGAATTCTGAATATTACCAGCCATTATTCCGGAGGTCATAAGATTTGCAACTTCCCCAGTTACTCTTGAAGGTAACATCACTATTGTGAACCTCAGAGCGGCCTTTTGAGATGTATTTTGCATTTCTTTTTTCTTTTTCTTTCTTTCTTTTCTTGCTTTTTTTTTTTTTTTTTTTGACGGAGTCTCGCTCTGTCGCCCAGGCTGGAGTGCAGTGGCGCGATCTCGGTTCACTGCAAGCTCCGCCTCCCGGGTTCACGCCATTCTCCTTCCTCAGCCTACTGAGTAGTTGGGACTACAGGCTCCCGCCACCACACCCGGCTAATTTTTTGTATTTTTAGTAGAGACCGGGTTTCACCGTGTTAGCAAGGATGGTCTCGATCTCCTGACCTCGTGATCCGCCCGCCTCGGGCTCCCAAAGTGCTGGGATTACAGGCGTGAGCCACCACGCCAGGCCAGGTTTTTGCATTTCTAACAACTGGAGGACCCCATCTGGACCTGCCAACCAGTCCTGTGGCCCCCCACTCAGGAACTGACTCAGCCTAAGAGAACAGCCTCCACTCACTATGATTTCATACCGGAGCCAACCAATCAGCACTCCTGATTCACTGGCCCCCCCTATCCACCAAATTATCCTTAAAAACTGATCAGAGTTTTCGGGGAGACTGATTTGAGTAATAAAACTCTGGTCTCCCGCACGGCCGGCTCTGCATGAATTACTCTTTCTCTATTGTAATTCCCCTGCCTTGATAAATCGGCTTTGTCTAGGCAGTCAGCAAGGTGAACACACTGGGTGGTTACAAAGGGAGTCCAGGCCAGTGTGCAGGATGTGCTTTGCTGTAGTGGGGTCCGGGTAGCGGAGGAAAGTCAAGGACACTCAGGGAATAAATGGCAGAGGAAGAAGGAGCACGAGGGAGGACCCAAAGCCTCCAGACCTCTCCTTCCTTCTCTCCCTGTTAGGGTTGGAGAGGACCAGCGTGGTCCCAGGAGGGATGGCTGGTGGGGTGCAGAAAACGCCCTGGTTGCAAAGGGGCGTCACGCGCCCCACGCAAGGGTCCTGGCTGTCAGCTGCTACTCATGAGTTCAAATTAGGAGGAGACTCACACGTGTCCTTTGCAAAGTAGACTCCTTATCTCCCGCTCCGGCTGGTTTCCCAAATCCATCCTGATAAAGCAGAAAAACCAAGAGCCAAATTCTGCGTGGGACCTTTCTGACAGCTGGAAGGTCCTCCCCCTCCCCATTCCTCACATGTGCCCTTCTTGCCCTGCCCCCTCCACTTTGTCTCCACTTCCTCATCCTTTTCCCTCTCCGGACCCCGCTCCTGAGTATCTCCCGCCTTCTTCAGAGGACTTCTCCTCATGAAGTACAGACTCCTCCACCTCCAGGAAAAAGAGACAAAGACCACTGAGAGGGACCTGAGAAATGCCTGTGACCCCACCCCTGAGGCCAGCCTCTCCCTCAGTGCTGGCTCTGGCTGTGTGTGTGTATGTATTTTGTTTTGTTTTGTTTGTTTGTTTTTGAGACAGGGTCTCACTCTGATGGTCAAGCTAGAGCAGTGTCCCGATCACAGCTCATTGCAGGCTCCAACTCCTGGATTCAGGCAATCCTCCCACCTCAGCTTCTCGAGTAGCTGGGACTACAGACTGGAGCCACCACACCCAGTATGTGTGTGTGTGTGTGTGTGTGTGTGTGTATTTTTTTCTTTTCTTTTCTTTTCTTTTTTTTTTTGGTAGAGACTGGGTCTTGCTTTGTTACCCATGCTGGTCTTGAACTTCTGGCTTCAAGCAATTCTCATGCCTCAGCCTCCCAAAGTGCTGAGATTACGGGCATAAACCACAACGCCTGGCCCCTGTGTGTGTATATACAAAGTCAAAGTGCTAAACCTGGCACCTAGGAAACATCCCCACCTTGGCATTGCTTGCAACAGTCGGTATTTTGTGCACCTGTGCTTTTGTTTCGGGAGCTGGGACAATTATATTCATCAGAACAGCACGGTGTTAAGGCCCTCACCCCCAGAAAGCTTAAGGGACACTGTTTTATGAAGGAGAGTGAGATTGGAGGAGCCCCTGACTCCAGGTCTCCTGATCCTTCTTACACAAAGCGATGCTGAAAAAAAGTGCAGGACACTCCATTTCCTCCTGGGACCAGACAGGGAAGCCAGAGCCACTGTGGATGTCAAATTCCAGCAAGGAAATACCAGTATAGCAAAATCTCCACATCACATTTTAAAGCTCACACAATGGCTCAAAGAGAACCAACGTCAAAAAACCGAATTCCTAGCTCAGGTGAGATCACCAAATTTGCCTGTGAGGTTTTGTGGAATCTGCAGGTAGAAAGGACATCTTTATTTAGAGCTGCAGCCCAATTGCTCCTGCATCTTGGGGCCCCTTGAAAGGACCCTCTCCCTTCAACAGTGCATAGTGAGGCCATTTCTGGGGAGAAACGTAGACTGTCCTTGGACTCCTGAGGTTTTTACACTTACTTGCTGACTCTGTGGACTTTGACTTCATCATTAAACATCTTACAACGATGTAATTTGCTTTGACTGTAAGTGTAGAACAGGACACTGTTCCTGAAGCAGGAAACAAGGGACTGGTGACCTGAACTGCCACCCCCCTCCCTGGTGCTCAGATGTAATGAAATCGTGAGGCAACAAATCTATGGCCAGGTAAAGGGTCAACTCCATTTCAGCAAATGTTTCAGATGTTCCTTCCCGCCTAGTAATGTTCCAGCTTTACCCCAGCCTTAATCTTTTAAAATGTATATTTTCCTTGGTGTTATTTTAAAGTAATTCGTATGTATTTATTACACTGGGTTTGTTGCAGTAAGCCACCTCGAATGTTGCTGTAGAATTAAAGTAAGCAAATAAATGTGTGGTTCTCCACGGAGTTACTAACTCTTAAAAAAAAAAGTCCAAATGTCCATTCCCAACTCAGCTTCAAGGAAAGTCTCCTCTAGACTCCACAGGGTAGAAATTCCTGTTGATGGCACCTTCAGAAGGTAAGAAAGGAACTCGTCCTCCACCATGCCTGACCCATCTTTGGGTTTTAGGCATTGGCCGACTGATAAAGGCAACTCTGAGAGTACAATCCATGTATAGATGACCGATAGTCATATAATAGGAATCTCACCACACCTGAGAGAGTGGGATAGATTCCCTCATTTTCATAGTTTGGGCATCTGAGTCCCTGAGAGCCTGAATGCTTGACATGGATTCTCCAAGAATGTTGGCCTTGAGACTCTAAAGGGCCCCGGGTCTCCTGTGAAGCCCCCTGTGCATGCACCACACCCGCAGAGGCTCCACAACGGCGGGAAGGGCACCCAGGGTCAGAGCCCAGGCGAGTTCACACTCGGGGACCATCCACATCCAGGACGTGCAGGGGAGGGGCCGAGGTGAGAGCCCAACCCCTGCCTAGGCTGTGGTGACTGGTGGCTGCACGGGGGTCCCAGCGCTCCTGGAGCTATCATTCTTTATCTCCTGAAGACCCCGGACCCGCACATACAAAAACTCTGCATTTCTGGTGGAGCGGTCTTCTCTTTTGAGATGTAAACACTACTTCTCGAATCTTAAAGCCAGCCATTGCCACTCCTAAGGGATAAGCCTCTAACTCCACTGAAATTAGCCTCAGAATTTCAGCTGAGCATTTGGAGCCACAGGCAGGAAGTCTGTGGGATTTGTACCTGGCTGATCTGGAAGGTGGTCCTGAAAGGTAGTGTGTGACTAGGTGGGCTCTATCCTGATGAGAGGAGAACGAGACAGATGGGAAGTTTCCGAAAGTGAATTTCAGTGGGCCCTGTGCCCAGCACTAGGATTTGGAAAATCTTTTCCCAGCCATTTTTGGCCTGTGGGTTTTCATTCTGCTTTCCTGTCTGCCAAGCCATTCCAGGCAATCCCTTCATTTGGTAAACATTTATCAAATACCTACTGTGCGTGGGGCATTGTTTTAAGAGGAGCTGGAACTGAGGTAAGAGCAAATAAACCCTCCTTGCCCTCAAGGCGTGCCCAGTCTTGCTCAGGCAGAGATCAGTAAGGAAATCATAACACAAATTGAGAGAGGAAAAAGGAAGAAACTGGTCGGGCGGGCAGTTATGGTGGGTCCTCAGTTGAATTATTTCAAACAAAAGAACGGCCTGCAGGCACAGAGAAGGGAACTTGCACAGGGGGGCTTGCCTAAGACATGCCCACAGCTGCACAAATAAGAAAGGCTGCACAGGAGACTTGCCCAGACATGCCCGCAATGGAAAATTCTGTCCCCCGATACGTGGGCAGTCAGGGAAACAAAGCAATATGGAGTAACTCAAGCTAAGGGCCTGCATGGGCACTAGGAGGATGGGGTGGAGCTACCGGAAATTCGTGCCTTATGCAAATGAGACACCCAGCCCTCATCAGTTTCTTGTAAAAGCCTTTGCATTCAGCTGTAAAAATGGCAACCATCTTCCAAGTCCCCTCTCTGCAGGGGAGAGCTTTCTTCTTTTGCTTATTAAACTTTTGCTCCAACCTCACCCTTTGTATCCACGCTCCTTAATTCTCTTGGTGGTGAGACAAAGAACTCCAGGTAACACCTCACAAGGAGAGACTGAGAGGCTGCTACGTTGTGGTGCATTGGCAAGACTAACAAACTGGCTAGTGGGACATGCACACTTGCTTGGTAGACATATATGTAGATCTTCAGCTCTGACTAATGAAGGAATACCAAAAATCTCATAAAAGAAAAAAATATTATTTGAGCTTTGTTTTGTGGTGTAAGTGGGAGCCCCACAGGCACCCAGGATAGGAGAGCTTTGCTCAGAATCCAGGAAGTGAACATCTTTCCCTGGGCCAGGCCAAGAATGAGACTAAGCTGATTGAGGAGCCTGGTGCCTCCTGGCAAGAAAGGGTGTCTGACACCTGACTATCCAGAAGTCACAGCTACTCAATATTGAGACTTGAAACAGAGAGAGAGAGAGAGAGAGAGAGAGAGATCTGATTTGAAAAGCAGAATTCTGCTGGGGGCTTGTTAAATGCAGAGTTTCTGATACAGTAGGTCCAGGCCAGGCCCTGAAGATTGCATATCTAAGTTCCCAGGTGATGCCAATGCTGCTTCCCCCAGGACCACACTTTGAGAACCACCACCCTAAGGCAATCTGTGTTGGTTTCTAATATCAGAAGAGGGCTGGGAGTGGGCTGGGAGGCAGAGGTGTGGGATCAGTGAGAACACACCTGACCTACCCTGGACAGCTCCCCACCCCAATCTTGCAGCATTTTATTTCCTGGGAGTCCTGGGAATGGAAGACACCCAGGAAGGGACCAAATGTGGGGTCACAGGGTGATCCAGAGGCTCGGCTTCATACAGCACCTGGGGCTCCCGCCACTCCACAACTGGCCCCCACACCCTCAGTCTTCCCACCCCTCACGACACTGACCTCCAGACCTTCCTCGACTAATCTCAGCAGGTTGGGCCTGGGATGTGACACTAGGAGCTCTGAGTGTACCTTCTGATCCAAAGATAGGGTGACCGTGTATGACAAGTACTCAGATGGGCCATTAATAGGACCTTGAACATTTGGCAAATGGCTTCAGTCACGTGTGCTTGAGAATTCCAGTGTTTTCTAGATATGGCATCCATGAGCCCACACAAACACTGGAGGGCGTCGTGAGCATACTGAAACCCATAACTGCTGCACTGGATCCCCTAGAATCCCTTTCCCACTTAGACCAAGATTTGAACAAAATTTCCTTCACCAAACAAATTGCATTTAATTAATCATGCTGTTATTTTACCTTGTAATGGAAAAAAGATAGATGTAAAGAAAGATCATGCGATTAAAAAGAAAACAACGTACTGAATTAAAATGGCAGTAAACCTCCTTGTTAAAGGAATAATATAATATTTAGAAAATTTTTAAAATTTATTTTAATAAAGGTAAAAAAATTCTATTAGTTTTTAAAAGGTTTTTCATTTTGAATTTTTTTGGGGTTTGTTTGGTTGCCCTAGGAATTATCTTTTATTTCTTGATATAGTTCAAAATTCAAAATTCAAAATATTCAAAAGGTAAAATGTCTCTTTCTTACCTTGTCTCATCCCCAACAGGCAACCAGGGATATCTTCTTGCTTATTCTTCCAAATATATTTTATGCATATGCAAGCAAATATAAATGTGTATATATATCTCTTTGTCCCTTTTCACACAAATTTTAGCAGACTCTATATGTTATTCTACACCTTGCTTTATTTCTTCTTAACAATGTATCATGGAGACCATCCCATGAGGGAATATCAAGAGTTTCCTATGTCTTTCTTCTTTTGTGTTAAATGTTTGTAGACTCAGCCGTGTAGATATGCAGTGCTTGTTTGGGTTTTCTTAGGAAGGTAGGGAGGCCTCCTCATGTTACCCAGAGTGGAGTAGAGTGTATTCACAGGTGAATGCTACTGTGCCCAGCTTGCAATGCTTTTTTAACTAGTCCGCTAGTGACAGACATTTGGATTATTTTTTCTTTTATCTTTCATTTTCTTTCTTCTTTCCTTTTTGATTTTACAAACAGGGTTGCATCATATAATTCTGAATACAGTCATTTTTCAGGAATGCAGGTCTATTTTTGGACACATTTCTAGAAGTGGGACTACTGGGTGTATGCATTTTTAATTTAGACAGAAATTGCCATACTGCCTTTCCTGAAAACATTTCCAGTTTGCAGGCCCATCTGCAATATATCAGAGTACCTGTTTTGGTACCATTAGTTTTTTGATTATAGAAATATGTAGAGATATACATTTGGGAGCCATCTGTGTCTAGACGATATTTAAAATCCTGGGAGTGGAGGACACTAGAGTGATTGGGAGGCAGTAAAACCCCACAGTGCTCCAGCATCTACAGCAAAAGGAGCCAATGAAGGGGGACTGAGGCTGAGCAGCTAGTTGGGGAGGAAGATAACTTGACCTGTAAAATGTCAAAGAAGATTTTAAAGGGGGGAGTTGATACAACCTCTTCAGAGAACAATTTGACATCCTATAACATCACATGGTAAAAGCACAGTAATCCCATTCCTACATCCGTATCTTGGGGAACTCACACAGGGGACCAGAGAGAGATGACCCAGGATGTTCATTGTGGCAGTGTCTGTAACAGAAACAAGCTAAAGGTCGCGGACAGGAGAAGAGATAAATTGTGGGATATTCGTCTCATAAATGCTATCCAGCACTGAAAACAAATGAACTGTTTCTATGGGTGTGTGGGTTCACCTCATAGACCATATTAAACGATAAAGCAAGCCACAGAATGATACATTCAACAAAAAACAATTTTTACAAAGTCTAAAATCATGTCAAACGAAAGGATTTAAAAAACTTTGTAGGCCGGGCGCGGTGGCTCACGCCAGCACATTGGGAGGCTGAGGCGGGCGGATCACAAGGTCAGGAGACCGAGACCACCCTGGCTAACACAGTGAAACCCCGTCTGTACTAAAAATACAAAAAAATTAGCCGGTCGTGGTGGTGGGCTCCTGTAGTCCCAGCTACTTGGGAGGCTGAGGCAGGAGAATGGCGTGAACCCGGGAGGCGGAGCTTGCAGTGAGCCGAGATCCCGCCACTGCACTCCAGCCTGGACGACAGAGCGAGACTCCGTCTCAAAACAAACAACCAAAAAAAAAAACACTTTGTAGCAATATAAAGGCATTCACCAAATTCAAGACATCCGCCACTCCCCACTGGCAGTCCAGTACTCAGTACAGTAGTACTGTACAGTACATAGAGTACTGTACTGTATGTGTTTCAGCGGAAACACATACATAACAGAACTGTGGAGAATCAGGGCTATCTGCATATATTTCTATTATTTTCTATGTATACTACATATAGCCAATAATATTAAAATGTTACAAATTGACAAACCTGGGTAGGGGCTTCACAAAGATTTCTTTTAATTCTCTATTCTTCCAGCTAGAACTACCTCATAATAACTAGCAGCAACATGGATGGAACTGGAGGTCAGTATGTTAAGTGAAATAGACCAGGCAAAGAAAGACAAATATCACATGTTCTCACTCACATGTGAGAACTGAAAAAAAGTTGATCTTATGGAGGTGGAGAGTAGAATAATAGTTACCAGAAGCTGGGAAGGGTGTGTGGGGGATCTGGGAGATAAAACGAGGTAGCTTAATGGGTACAAAGATACAGTTAAATAGGAGGAATAAATTCTAATATTCGATAGCACAGCAGGCTGGCTGTAGTTAACAACAATGTATTGTGTATTTCACAATAGCTATAAGAGTGGATTTGAAATTCACCCAACACAAATAACTGATAAATGCTTGAGGTGATGAGTATCCTAAATATCCTGACTCGATCATTTCACATTCTACACATGCATGAAAATATTATGTGTACCCCAAAGTATGTATAAATATTATATGCCAATAATTTTTATTAAAATACCAACAAGCTCAGTACAATAAGGAGTATTTTAAAATGATACAAAAATTATTTGTGTGATAATTTGGCAAATATTTCCTGTTCATTAACATCAATTTTTTCTCCTATAAGTATAAGGAGAATAATACCTAAATAGCATCAGAAGTGGTTGCTTTCCTGAAAGAGAATCCTTTTCCCAGTTAAAAATACAGAATCAGAATCACTAAAGTAAATAGGACTTTGGAGAACTACATAGCACTGGGTCTTGCTGCCCTGGGGCGGCCAGGCTCAGGGAGTGCTCACCTTCCAGGGAAAACTAAACTTCGGCTCCCTTGTTTTGGTAGTGTTCTTTTTTTTTTTTTTTTTTTGAGATGGAGTCTTGGTCTGTCGCCCAGGCTGGAGTGCAGTGGCGAGATCTTGGCTCACTGCAAGCTCTGCCTCCTGGGTTCACACCATTCTCCCGCCTCAGCCTCCCGAGCAGCTGGGACTACAGGCATCCACCACCACGCCCGGCTAATTTTTCTTTTTGTATTTTTAGTAGAGAAGGGGTTTCACCGTGTTAGCCAGGGTAGTCTCGATCTCCTGACCTCGTGATCCGCCCGCCTCGGCCTCCTAAAGTGCTGGGATTACAGGCGTGAGCCACTGCGCCTGGCCTTTGGTGGTGTTCTTATTGCAAGACCAACATTTCAAAATATCAACAGAGTCCAGCCAAAGGGTTGTATTCTCTTTTATTTCTTATAATATGCACCGCCAAGGATGGCGCAGACTCTTATGGGCTAAACTGTGTCCCTGTACACATATTTTGAGGCCAATGTTGACAAGATAGAGGGAGAAGATGGCCATCTGTAAGCCAGAGACAGGCCTCAGGAGCAATCAGCCCTGCAATACATTCCATCGTGGACCTGTAGCCTCCAGAACTGGGAGATAATACATTTCTACTGTTTAACTTACCCAGTCTGTGCCACTTTATTATGGAAGTCTTAGCAAATTAAAACAGAGATATCACCTTTTCTACCCTGCCCTACATATGAAAATGAGATTTTTCAAGAGTATGAATTACGTAGGATTCCAAAGCATAGAACGGATAGATTGAAAATTGACAATGGCAGGTGATGTAGAGTTTGGGCAGATGTAGGCTGGCTTCCAAGCCTCCGTGGTCCCATGGTCACCACACAAAGGTGGAGATGTTCTCATTCCTTTTCATTTTCACTTGGAGCAAAACATGTGGGTCCACACTGGTATATGATCAGAAGATATATTTAACTGATTTGAGATATTGAGGTAGAAAGTCTTGCTGTACTTTTATAGAAAGATGAATGATAATTATCATCACTAAAGGGGCTTTTAGGCAGGGTGTTGCTGGCATTATGTTTTCCTCCTACTTTTAAGGTGCATGTTCCTAAAAAAGCCCTGTCTAGGAGTAAAGGCCATCACTTAAATTTTTCTGTTTCTGCGGCCGGGCGCGGAGGCTCACGCTTGTAATCCCAGCACTTTGGGAGGCCAAGGCGGGCGGATCACGAGGTCAGGAGATCGAGACCATCCTGGCTAACATGGTGAAACCCCGTCTCCACTAAAAATACAAAAAATTAGCCGAGTGTGGTGGTGAGCGCCTGTAGTCCCAGCTACTCGGTAGGCTGAGGCAGGAGAATGGCATGAACCCAGGAGGTGGAGCTTTCAGTGAGCCGAAATCGCTCCACTGCACTCCAGCCTGGGTGACAGAGCAAGACTCCGTCTCAAAAAAAAAAAAAAAAAAAATTTTTCTCCACCTGTCAACTCATTGGTCCTCACTTCATTTCAGTAAGGTTACCGGAATGTCTGTGTTTATCCAGGATTCACAGATGAGTTTAAAAGTCCCTAGTGGTAGAGAGCTTCTCCCGAGGTCACACGGCAACCGAGTGTGGTGGAGCAATGACAGGCATGTGGCAACCTTGGTCCGTACTCCAGTTCTCTAGGTGCCATGAGAATTGCAGCCTTTGGTTCATTTTCTATTATTATTTTTTTTTTTCTGAATGAGTGAAGGAAAATGTGTGTTGAGAACAAAGTGCCAGAGACCTAAGTCCATTCCTTAAACCTGCAGGGTTGGGGCCTGGAGAGACAGAGGCTGCCACTGATTCTCTGAATTCCAGCTTCCCTTGTCAGTCACGCAGCTGAAAGCAGGAAGAAGCTTTCTCTTCTGCACTTGGAACAACAAGGTGAAGATGACAGAGAGTCCCACATCTACCATGGAAAAGGCAATGGTCCCTAAATCATGCCAAGTTTTCTAATGACATGTGTTTTCCCGCAACATGTAACTATATGTCCTCCCTTCAAGCACCAGTTATCACAGTACAAACACAGCAACAGCATAAAGGAATGACTACTGAGCCTGAAGCTCTGATGGATGCTCTGAGTTGAGACTTTGTTTTATACTTAGGTACCTGTGAGTCATTGCAGAGTTTTGCCTGACTCCACCATGACCCAATTTGATCAAGGTCTATATGCTATGAGACCTCTCTAGTTCCTCATCAGAAATTATAATGAATACCATGTCCAGCTCCTGAGGTGCCTGATGGCAACGAGCGGCAGCTCCTCTTGGGGCAACACTTTGGGGGTGACCAAGGCCTCACAGACCTCACTACTGCTGGGCTACATGGCCCAAGGCTCCTGGGCGCAATGGATCGGTGGTCTTGGATTCGCCTCGGACATTTAATGACATTTGTTCTTGGGCTTTCACAAGTGGTCTCTGGTTGAGATGGAAGGAAAGGACGCAGGGACACAAAATCTCTGACTGCCCAGGGACCCCCTCACCGTCCTCACTTCCACTCAAGACGACATGGCCGTTCCACTAAATTCCCGAGGACATGGCCAACATGAGTAACAACACAGGGAAGTGCCTTACACAGAGTTCCATGGAAGCCTGGCTAGTACCCTCTAGACCATTTACCTACACCTGTTGGGATCTCTCTAGCATGAAATGCTCCAGAGGCAGTCATGCCATAAGCTTGGATCCTCCAGCCATTGAGTGTGAGGGTCTTAGCCCGGTCTAAATGAGCACTGAATTCTAGAGAGACCAAGGGACTGTCTAAGTTCTGAATTCTGAGTCCTGAATCCTGGAAGTTGGCTTCTGGCCAGGGAGCAGGTGTTACTGCCTCTGATCCACAAAAGCAGCCCCACAGCTCAAGTTGCTCTTCTGGATTTCTCCCCTCTCCTGGTTCCTGGCCAGGCAAATCTTCACTGCTTTGTTAGCCCATCCATTTGCTCAACCAGATTTTTCAAATATGTATGTTTTCCTCCTTTTCCCATTGTACTCAGTGGAAGGAATGGTCTAAATTACCTAATCAGCAATTCCTGGAAACCAAGCCACCATGTACATACAATCTTATACGTTAATGTCACATACAAGAAAGAAAATGCAGAGGTACCAGTAGTGGCTACCTAAGCAGTGTAATGTAGAGGTAATAAAAACGAATTGTTGGATAGTATCTATCTATGCCATGAGTAAAATACATATCAATAAATTACAACTTCTAAGAAAATAATCTCTATATGTAATATATGACTATGACTCTGATAGACAAACCTCGGAGTATTGTCTGAAGACACTTCTCATCACCTTCACCTCATGAGCCAGATGGTGTGAAATGAGGAGCAGAGATTTGAAATGTGTGGCAAGCCTCTCTGCAAAGCAGCAGAGTAACATTCTACATGAGCGAATCAAAGCAATCTCACAAATGACATTGGATGTGCGGTGTGGGATGTGTGTCCTTATTATAATGGAGTTAATCCTTTAAGTAGGTAATCCTTTTACATGAACTGGATTCTAAATGACTTATTAGCTATCAATTAGCCAGGAATTTTTCCCTTTACTAAAAGAGAGACCCTGCCATGAACCAGCATTTCCCAGGTGGAGGTCTCTGGCAGACATCAACTTCTAACAGGGTAAATGTCCTGTTTCTTTAGTCAGGGAAAACTGACTTTCACAAGTGGTCTCTGGTTGAGGGATCCCATTTTGAGTGGGGCATTTGCCAAGTCACTTCTCCCTGTTCCTGCTGGGGCTGGGGATGATGAACCGAGTGAAGACACAAACTCTGAGAGGGAACCAGGCAGACAGGCAGACTGACAAGGAGGGCACTGCCTGGTCTAGTTACCATTCGCACCCAGTCAGAAGAGGTGAAGGGTGAGAGAGGAGGCTGCTGGGAACTGGAATATTAGCAGCCAGGAAGGCCAAGAAAGTGCAGGCTGACAGTATAGGCCAGAGGCTGGAGACCCTGGGAGGGAGCTTTGTTGTTCCCTCTGAGCCCCAGGGTGCAGGAGAGGGTCCTTTTCACCAGGGAGCTTCAGCCTTCAGGATGATTTCTGGGCTCTGCACTCCACTGATCCTCCATGAGGACTTTAAACAGCAAGATGAGGTACCCAGGGCCCTAGGAATCTGATTCTCATATACCCTGAAATACCTTTACTAAAAATATCATCCCTATGTTTTGCTTATTTCTTATAACATATAAAACATTAAGCCAAACCACTGTACAGAATTTATTAATATGTAGATATGAGGTGTCTGGTGACAGATCCTCCAAGTTATTTATATCAGAGGAAGAAAGTGGTCTGGCTGCATTCACAGATGAGAACAGCAGGGTAGCAACACTCAGGACCATGACACTGGGTGCTCCCAACCCCGAAGGGAAGCATCTCACTGTACACAGATGGCCAGGAGAGTGATCACAGGGTCCTGTGTTATCTCCTCCTCCTCCTCTCCTGGGTCCTGGGCTTCACTTCCTAATCTCAGCTGGTAGCAAAATTAACTTGGTATTCAAGACCCTTATGGCCCCTCTTCACCATAGCATCTCATCAGGTCTCTTTCCTCATAAGAATTTCAGCACAGGGGTGTACTCTAGAAATATCACCATGGAAGGGGTGGCAGAGGCAGCTCATCTCTAACTCCTCAAATAGAGAGGATGGAGCCACAGTCCTGTGCCTCACCCATCCCATGGTCCTGCCTCAAATACAGTCTCCTCCTGCAGGCTGCTGGGTCCTCTTTATTGTCATTCTCCAGATGGTGACAGGGTCCCAGGCAGACGTGCTCACAGCTTCCTTGGGGCCTGATACCAACAGGAGTTGAGGCCAGGGAGCAGCTTTGGGCTGTAGCGATCTTTGGATTTGAAGGTAGGGGATGGTGATGGGCTGCCCATAATGCTCTAGGTGTAAAGGCTGAGAGTGGCTGAGCTGAATCTGGTCATTACCATGTTCTCCACAGTTTGAGAGCTGCCTTGTGCAGACCAGCAAGACACAGATAGTTCTCAGCCCCCTTATATCTCTGTGGACCCTGACTTTTCTTCCCCCAGCTGCTGTCCTCCCAAGCACAGCCCCGGGAGGATGTAGGGAGAGGGACCCATTCCCCTGATGCCCCAGAACCCCTTTCATGTAATCCCAATATCCAGGCCTGGGGTCCCCTTCTTTGGATCGACCTTTCTTTTCTTGGAATGAAAGGGTTACAGGGTCTCCCTCCCAGATCTCCACTGTGACTCACTCACCCTAAATAGATGTCTTGCTCTACAGTTATCTTCTGCATAGTGTTTTCTGAAGATGTGATAAAATATTATAAGCCATTAATAAAACATGGAAGTTAGGTTCTCTTTTTGGATTCTGAGGATCTGCTGTGCTGGGGCAGGGGCAGGTGGGGAGAGAAGGGCAGGTGGAGGGGCAGGAGCTGAGTGGTGTGTGGCCTCGCTCTGTGCCCAGTAAAGCTCCTGCTGTGGTCATCTCTTGTGTATTTGTCTGGATCCCTCCATGTGCTGGGATTTGTGCCTGGTCTTTAGGGGCGGGTGCTGCTCCAGGTCGGAGGCCTCACACATCTCCAGGCTGAGCCTTTCTCCAAGTCCATGGAGGTCACGGGCTGAGAATGGCCAGTCCCACTCCTGCCTTGAGTTTCACTTTATTTGGCATATTTTTATATGTTGATCTGATCCTTCTCACAAGGGATGTTTATGAGCATTATTTCATAGGAGAGCCACTACCATCCCGCCGTGGCCATGCTCTGTCCCTGACACCAGGATCCTGGGTGCTTTGTTTTTGTTCTCCCCTAAAGTCCCGGGACAGCCTCTGCACGTGGGGCTTCTCAGATGACACAGATTGATGATTTCCACCTTAGCCTTCTTTCCTCTTCCATTTCCAGAATACTTCTATTTTTTTCTTTTATTATACTGTCAGATTTTCAAGTTAAGGGCTGGGCACAATGGCTCACACCTGTAATGCTAGCACTTTGGAAGTCCAAGTCAGGGGGATTGCTTGAGGCCAGGAGTGGAAGACCAGCCTGGGCAACATAGCAAGACCCTGTCTCTATGAAACAAATCGAATTAACACCATGAATACATGTGTTATTGTCATGTCATAAATAAATTCTTGTCACTTCTTCTGTGGGACAGTCAGGGTCCTGGCAGGAAAGAGATGACAAAGAAAGAAGACACACATTACAGAGGTGCTGGCAGGCCTAAGAAAGCCACAAGGGGTGCTGAAGCTCCCTGGGATGATCAGTGGCAGGAAACTGTTTCCATCTCTGAGTTGAAAGAACAAGGAAGAGGGAGCAGTTTCCAGAACTCACGGAAATCTGTAGCTTTCACTAGGGGCAGCCCCGCAGGCCTGTGGCTGTAGGTAGAGGACGGCAATGATTACAGAACCGCAGAGCTGTCCAAAGGGAGTGAGGGAAGTGAAAACCCTGAGTTACTTCTCCCCCCACGCTCCCATCTCCTGCAGGTGCCTGTTATCATCCACACCCAAGCAGAAGCAGGTGGTGCAGGAGCACAGGCCGTGCTGTCTCTGTGGTGCCCCCAGTGCAGGGGGCAGGATGGAGGAGAGTGAACCACAGCTCTGTGGAGGGGAAGCAGAGAATAATGCACTCACCTGCTTACGGTGTTCACATTCTTCAGGGAATTTACTTAAATATACCAGAGTTTGTTCTAATCCAAAAATATGACTTTAAAAAGAAGTATCTCACTTATAAATGCATAGCAGGTAGTAAAATTGAGTATTACCTCACTCTCCTTCCCTTTCCCCACATGGGACTGTATAACTCATAAATGAATAACTTGATTTATTATTATTTTTTTAAAATAACTTGAATTATTTGGGTGTAAGCCATAAAAGCAGAGTCTGGCTCAGATCAGCAAAGGGAAGTTGTTGGGCAGCTGGCGGTGCAGTTCACAGAATCACAGATACTTTCAAAGTACCAGGACAGCACCGAGGAGCAGGCGGCAAGCCCTGACCAGTCTCGTTGGACTAGACCATGGAGTGAAAGAATCGTCACTGATACTGATAGCTTGTGACTGCTGATGCTTTAAATTCTGAGACAGTTTACCCAAATGGCTTAGTTTAGATCTCATGCATTTCTTATTTTCTTGTGATTTAATTTCAGGGATAGAGTCAATATCTTCCCTTAAGGGAAGTTCCTTTCCTGTTTATCTTGTTAAACTAGGTGGAAGGGGAAGACTTTTTCAAGTTCCCATGGACCCATATACATCATGACATCAATCTAATTGCTCTCATCCAGTGATACGGTTTGGCTGTGTCCCCATTCGAATCTCAACTTGAATGGTATCTCCCAGAATTCCCACATGTTGTGGGAGGGACCCAGGGGGAGGTAACTGAATCACTGGGGCCAGTTTTTCCCGTGGTATTCTTGTGATAGTCTCACGAGATCTAATGGGTTTATCAGGGGTTTCCGCTTTTGCTTCCTCCTCATTTTCTCTTGCCACTGCCATGTAAGAAGTGCCTTTCACCTGCCGCCATGATTCTGAGGCCTCCCCAGCCATGTGGAATTGTAAGTCCAATTAAACCTCTTTTTCTTCCCAGTATGTCTTTATCAGCAGCGTGAAAATGGGCCAATGAGAGGGGCTATTTCCTCCACCACCAGTGGCGCTGTGGGAGGCTCTTCTGCACCCATATTGCAGCTCAAACCCATTAAAAGGGGAATCAGAGAGCTGGGCTAGGCATTTCCCTTCCCTACACTACAGGAATCCTAGTTGTGTTTCCCTTCTGTTTGATAGACTTAAATCTAGATAGTCACTAAGTTGCTGTGTGGTCACGTTTTGGAGAGAAAGGAAAGCAGGCAGGAGTGAGGACACTGGCACCCCAACTGCTGCCTGTGGGCACCTGCACATTCATGCTCCACTCTCACACTCACACTTACACACGTGTACACACACTCCAATTCCCACTTGTGCACACATGCACACACGTGTGCAGCCACACACACACACTCAAGTCAGCACTGGAGGATGACACTTCCCAACACCCTTGTACCCACGTGCCATTCTTGGGGATTTGTGCGGCTGGAGGCAGGAGGTCCTGAGGAGGCACCACCAGGGACTACCACCAGGGGGAGGGTTGAGTGAGTGGGGTCCTGCCAAGGCACTGGTGGATGGGATGATACCTACGGGATGCACTGGCAGGGGCAGACGTTTGCTCCAAGGCCATCTCCCTTCCATCTCCTCTCCCTGCTCAGGCTCAAAGCCCTGACCTGAGGCCCAGCTAGAAAGGCAGAAGGCATCCTCCCACACAGAGCACACAGCTCCTTCCCTGCATCAGAACCCTCGGTGGCACCATCAAGTTGGACAGATATAGTCAGGCGAGGTGGGGGGTCACTGCAGAGGACAAGAAGGTCCTGTCCTGGAATCTGCAGCCAAACACCTTTGGCCACAGACTGAAGGCTGCACTGTCAGCTTCCCTACTTTTGAGGTTTTGGGACTTGGACTGATCCATCACTGGCTTTCTTGCACCTCAACTTGCAGACGGTCTGTCGTGGGACTTCACCTTGTGATCGTGTGAGTCAATTCTCCTTAATAAACTCCCTTACATATGTACATACATCCTATTAGTTCTGCTCCTCTAGAGAACGCTGACTCACACAGTGGGTGAGGCAGGGAGTTGCGTGAGCTGCCCAAAAGCCACCAGGAGCCACTCTCTCCAGGCTTTGGCCTCACTTCAGTGCCAGGCCCTGCCACAGCCCTTGCCCCCATCCTACTCTGCCACCCCCAGCTCCCTCCCAGCCTGACCCCAGACAGAATCCAGAACAACTCCTGTTCCTGACCTGAAAAATGTTCTTGCCAGTTTAGGCAGAACTTGCTTTAGAGCCCTGGTGTCCAGCCCGCCACAGGTCTTGTGTCTGTTTCTCTTGGCACTGTGTCTTTTCTCACTTATTCTTCTGAAACTCTGCAAGGCAGGAATTATGTCACTGGTTTGCAGATGAGGAAACTGGCTCAGATGGTTTCATTCAGCACTCACTCACTGGGCAAGTGTCTGTCGGGGCCAGCTCTGGGTCAGATGTGCTCAGGCCTCTTCAGCTGGCTGGTGGGAGGACCTGGAGGGTTCATGCCCAGGTCCAGGCCCATCTGACTTGAAAGCTTTTCCTGACTTTGCTTCAGTGCTGATTTCCCCTTTGCAGGTGCACCTTCCACTGTGCTTTCCTTTATTACTGTTTGCTGACACTGCATTTTTTCCTTTGCTTTTTCTTTCTTTCCATCTTTCTTTCTTTTTTCTTGCTTTTTTATTTATAGACCGAATGTTTGTGGCAACCCTGTGTCAAGCAGGTCTATTTGGCACCATTTTTCCAACAGCATGTGCTCACTTCATGTCTCTGTGTCACATTTTGGTAATTCTTGAAGTATTTCAACCTTGTTCATTATTACACCTGTATGGTGACCTGTGGTCAGTGATCTTTGAAGTTACTCTCGTAACTGTTTTGGGACACCATGACCCACACCCTTATAAAATGGTGAACCTTATTGATAAATGTTGTGTATGTTGTGACTTCTCCACCAACTGGCTGGTTTCTTGACTCTCTCTCTCTCTCCCGGCCTTCCCTATTCTGTGAGACACAAAAATATTGAAGGCAGGCCGATTAGTAACCCTACAATGGCCTCTAAGTGTCCAAGTGAGGAGAATAATCTTGCTGCAAACTTCGTTGTGTTATTTTAAGAAATTGCCACAGCGATTTCAGCAACCACCCTTCTGATCAGTCAGCAATTATTAACATTGAGGCAAGACCCTCCACAGCAAGAAGGTTAGGATTAGCTGAAGCCTCAGGTGATTGTTAGCATTTTTTAGCAATAAAGTAGTTTTACATTAAGGTATGTACATAGTTCATTTTGTACATAATGCTATTGTACACTTAAGAGACTACAGTCAAGTGTAAATATAACTTTTATATGCACTGGGAAACTGAAAAATTTGTGTGACTTGCTTTGTTGCCATGGTCTGGAGCCAAACCTGCATATATCTGAAGTATGACTGTAATTTCCCTTTCCCTCTTCTTGCTGGCCCAGAATGACCTTGTTTCTTGCCCCTGTCTAGCCCTGCATGCTGTAGGGGTTTGCCTTCTCTGGTAGGTCTGGGCACTTTGTATCCCTTGTAACTCTGGCTCCTGGAATATGACACTGGTACAGGGCTCAAGCTCTGTTGGACTAGTGAGCCTCCTCCCATTCTTCCTGAACTAGAACCAAAGCTCCGTGCACACACTGTGCATGTGTGAGCCTGTGTAGAGATGTCGGCTTCCTGCAGCGTGTTCTGAAGGGGTGTCCTGTTGTGACTGGGGGCACAGCCACAGGCCACTGGGCAGAGGTGGTTCAGAAGGGAGTGGATGGCCCCAGTTTTGATCATCTGAAAACAGGGAGGTCCTCAGAGAAAAACCAATGTCTTAGAAGGCAAAACTGCCCGAGAGTGGACAATGGCTAACCAGGTCACTACCTGGGACATCACTCTGCACTAGGAGGGAAGATGGCCTCTGCCATGGTATAGAGGTCCAGGAACCAGGCAGGGAGGCCTTCCCGGTGGTCAGTGCTTCTCACAATTGGTAGCTAAAGTATCTTTAGATGAGGCCAAAGGCCTCATGTTCCTCACTAGCTGACTTGTTCCCACTCAGTGGAAAAAGAACACAGAAACTTTGTAAAATGTTAGGGGAGAGGTACTTTCCCTCTTGACTCTTAGTGCTAGGGTTATGCATGACGCATACTTGCATTGCAATGTGTACACAGCTTAAAGTCTTAATTATTAGAATATAAGAGGCCCAAACTACTGTTTTTATACATATGTGAAACTGTACATATAAGGTTAAACAACCTGCAACCAGTTAACTTTGAAGATACATTTATCACATTTGTAGATTTTCAAACAATATTGGCAGGCATTTAGAAAAACAACAAATGAGACTCTTGCAAGACAATCTAAATTATACGCTGATAACATTGCTTCATGAAGAGGACATTTGAACCATCTGAGTTTCTGCCTTAGGTTATAACTCCAAAATGGACGAACCCCCAATAGTTTATAGCAGGCAGCCCCAAGCCACAAACAAATGTGTCAGTGCAGACCTGAGACCTGGAGTGAGTCCCCCTCCCCCAGGGACATGAGTGAATCCTCTAAGACCCCTCTTCCTCCAGGCCCTCCATCCAGTCATCAGGGAGACAAGAAAGGGTCCACACAGCACTGAGGCCCAACTATCTCACTGTCCTCACCTCCATGGACAGAGCCCAGGTGAAAGCCACCCCTGAGCCTCCTCCCTCGTCTCCCACAGCCTCAGCACCATCATCTGCCTTGAGTCCACCAGGACTGAGCTCATCATGCCTTTTCCCTGTTTGTGTCAGTCACACTGGGTCCCCCAAACACCCTGCATTCACATCCCCACAAGGCTCTGCACACCCCTATTTTGTCTCCCCATACCCCATTCCCAAATCCAGAAGTCTTCCCGCTGTGCCCCTTGGAATTCTCAGCCCATGATCAGCAAAACCTCCACATCCTGTCTCAGGATGTTCCTGGACCTCACAGCTCCAGCGATGTCTGTGTCTGCCAGAGGATGTGGTCCCTTCCAAAGTCCTCCCACATGGGGGAGTTTGCACAGGGACCTTGTACCCTTGGCCCAGAGGTGGGGTGGCATCCTCACTCCTCACTGTGGTTCTCAGACCTTTCTGCCTCCTTCCTTCCTAAGCCCCCAAAGCTGTCATCAGATTCAGGCCCCACTCCCCTCATTGCAGCCATTCCCTGTGGGCCCCAGGCCGTTCCTCTCAGTCCTGACTCTTGTAGTTCCTGGTTCACTATCGCCCTCTCCAGCAGTGCTGTCTCCTTGATCCTCGGTGACTTCAACATACTCAGATGTGATGGGCCGAGTAATGGTTCCCAAAGACATCCAATCTCAATCCTGGGCACCCACGAGTAGGTTGCATTACATGGCAAAAGGGAAAATACTGATGTGATGAAGATTAAGGACCTTAAAATTGCAAGATTATTTTGGACTATCTGTGTGGGCCCGATCAAATCTCACAAGCCATTAAAAGCAGAGAAGCTGCTCTGGCTGGAGTCAGATGCTGCAGAGGAGGAAGGCAGAGGAGACACCGCAGAAGGGGGAGGTCAGAGGTTCCAAGCAGGAGGATTGGATATGTTGCATGGGATATGTGTGAGGAACTGAGAGAGGGCTCTAGGAGCTAAGGGTGGCCCCTGGACAGGAGCCAGCAAGGAAGTGGGGATCTCAGTCCTATCTGCAAGGAAGTGAATTCAGACAAGAACCTGAATGAGCTTGACAGTAGATTTTTCCTCAGAGTCAGAAGGAACACAGACCTCCCCTTACCTTGATTTTAGCCCCATGAGACTGTTGAAATTGTAACACACATGACTGTGACATGATAAAGAGATGCTGTTTAAAGCCACTTGTTTTGTGTTAATTTTTATGGCAGCAATAAACACCCATAGAGCAGAGAGGATGCATCGCCCTCTGGCTTCTCAGATGCTGGGACTCCTCTCCTCCATGACCTTCTCCTCTCTCTGCCTGAATCTCATGCCCTTGTCATATAAGCATTATTTCGTAGGAGAGCTGCTATCATCCCGCCATGGCC